>NW_003315906.1:0-110268 GCF_000001405.40 Homo sapiens
CATCCCTCGATCCCAGGAGCCTAGCCGCACACTCTGCTCCCAGAACTTGGAACCCACACAGGCCTCTGAGGCAAAGAGCATGGTGTTGGGGAACAGGTGGTGTGTCTCCCTTAGGGTGGCTTTGGCTGGAGCCAGAAAGTCCAGGTACCAATGTACAGCAATACCATGAACATACTTAGCTGCTTCTGGGTCTGTCAGTACCTGCAAAGGAAGAACAAGTCACCCTGGACCCTGCCCACAGGCTTCTGGAACTTCTAGTTCCTCTTGTAGGAATCCTGAATTAGGTGGTGGGAAGAATGCAACTACAGAGGTTTTGGGAGGGATTTTTTGTTTTTGTTTTTGAGACAGGGTCTCCCTCTGTCACACAGGCTGGAGTACAGTGGCACAATCATAGCTCACTGCAGCCTGAAATTCTAGGCTCAACTAAACCTCCCGCCTTAGCCTCCAGAATACTTGGGACTATAGGCGTGCCACCACCACACCCGGCTAACTTTTCTATTTTTTTTTTTGTAGAGTTAGGGTTTCACCATGTTTCCCAGGCTCATCTTGAACTCCTTAGGTTCAAGTGATCCACCCACCTTGGGTTCCCAAAGTGCTGGAATTATAGCCATGAGCTACCACCCCCAGCCTAGAGAGGTTTCAAGTCCCAACTGTGGGATCCATGGCACCCTGGAGGTCCCGGGGAATGGTGCTCTAGGATCCATAGTTGGGTAGAAAAATCCCTCTAAGTTTGGGAGCCAATCATTTGGATGCTGGATTTGAAGGTCACTGGAGCACCATGGAGGTCCAGGCCTTACCACCTTTGCCCAGTGGGGCAGCAGCAAGCGTTGGTCATCCAGCATGAGTAGGCGGACATTGTGGTGAGTACCGTTGGCAAGGGTAGGACCTAGGTCACGGGCAATGAAGTCTCGCTGATGTTCAGGGGTGAAGCCCAGGCACTGGAAGGGGTATCCACTCAACAGCCCAGCAGAAGGCTCATTTTCAGCTGTCACTGCCCAGAACTGTATAACTTGTGCTCAGCATAGGCATCCAGGAACCTGGCAAGAGAAAGGTCATGAATGATCCAGCCAAGAAAGTGGGCCAGACCGAGAGAACAGGAAGCCTGATGGAGTGGGCAAGACTGACAGATCCAAGTTTGAAAGGCCCAGAAGGTAGAAAGGTGAGCTGAGGACAGGCAGATCTGGAAGTGGAACCAGGTTGAGGGTTGGGACACAGATCAGCATGGCCAAAGGGGAGGCCAGTCCTGATCCCACATCCTTGCTGATCCCTTACTTCACAATGTATCTGGCCCAGGTCTGGTGGTAGATGTCTCTGGGCTGTCCCTTGAGTGGCCCCTTCCCATTCCCCGCTCCCCTGGTCTTGAGCCGAGTGGGTGATGTCCAGGGGCTGGCAAGGAGTGAAACGGGACGCTGGGCCAACTGCAGGGCTCGGTGAATCAGGGGTATCTAGAGACAAAGGTAGTGAAGAGAGAAGCACCCAGAGTTGGAACACATACTAGCCCAACCAGTGCATCCGGTTCAGCCATTAGCCCCCACCCTCCCACCCCCAGGACAAAACAGCAGGGGACAAAATGTCTGTACAAGCAGACCTACCCTACAGTTTCTCAACCCCCAGACATCAGGGCCCTCAGGGCCTGAAAAAGCTAGAATGCCTACCTTGAGCTTGGTATCTTCCTCTGGGAGGCTGAAGTTGTGCAACTGGAAATCATCAGGGGTGTCTGCATAGGTGTAGGTGCGGATGGAGAAGTCACAGCTGGCCATGGGTACCCAGATGATGTTATATCCGATTCCTACAGAAAAGGATGATCAAGATATGGTAGTCCGAGTCAATAGGAGAGTATGGGACTCTGCTTATCACTTGCCAGTCCTAATAGTGTCTGAGTCAGGGCCAAAAGGAACTTGGGCTCCTGGGTTGGAACCTGTGGAGGCTGGCACCTGGGTGAAGCGCAGGCCTTTCTGAGCCTGAGTCCGTAGCAGTTAGCAGATGATAGGCGGCGAAATCTTATTTCACTGGCATTAAGACAGGAACCAAATGTCAGGGATGGGCAGAAGTCAGGGTCCAAAGAATTGGCAAAGAAAAGTGTCAGTGGCTCTATGTCATCCTGTCCCCTTCCTCCTCATCTTCTTCAGAGAAGTACCATTTAAGTAGCAAATTCTGGGCAGGGGGTGACAGGGCAAGGATGTTGAGGGCACCTGCATCTGTCACGGCCCCTCCAAATCCCTTCACTTTCTGGAACTTCTGGCTGCAGGATCAGTAGCAGGCCTGAGGACATCCACAGGGTTATCAGTGCCCAGGGGAGAAACTCCATGGTGATCACTGACACCGTTTACCTCTAGGAGGACCCAGCCTGGCCCGGGGGGTGAAGGGTGTAATGGTTACCTGTGCCGGTGCAATTAGCCTGTATGGTCCTGTACTCAGCTCCATCCAATGCCCACTGCTTCTGCTCTTGTAGCGGCTGAAGGCACCTAGGGCAGGAAAGGTCGGGGGGTCAAGAGTCACAGTATGTGGCATTGCAGACACAGACCACCGAGCTGTACTGAAGCTTTTAGGGATGCAGGGGCACCACCTGGGAGGGAGGGAGCACAAGCAGAGGTGAGGTCTGACAAGGATGTGGAGAACGGACACAGCTGTTTGGAGAGACTGAAGACGGTTTCAAAAATCCTCACCCCAAAGTTGGTCTCAGTCACTCAAAAGGATTTATTGAGCACCTACTAAAAGTCTACCACCAGCTTACTGGAAGGCTACCAAAGGACTATGAGGCAGAAGGGAGGCTCTGTGCTACCTCCCCACTGCCTTGACTCACTCATCTGATGCCCACGACACTGCCTGAAGTAGAAGCAATCCTGTGAGGCTGCCAGCCATGATGCTTACCCTACCCGAAGGCTTGGGACATTCCTGAGGACAGAATGAGGAATGACTGAAAAGCAAGTCCCTCTCCACCCCTCAACTACTCTCCCGGGCAGGGCTTAGCTGCCTTTGGGTGCCCATGGCCTGGTCTCCCACATTCATTAGGACAAGGCCCACAGACACCTGGGTGCAGCTCTCCCTGCAACCCTTCTGATGACAACTCTCTGCCCACCCCAAATCAGGATGCTCCCCACCACTCTTCCCACCCATTTCAACTTCGACCCCTCCCTCCATCTGTGCCTTGCTCAAAGAGCCATGATGGCCCTGGATTCAAAGAGAGTCTGTCATTCATTAAATTCCAGTGCCAGGATTCCAGAAGCACTGTGACAATGCTGATTGGGAGCTCTCTCTCTTACCTCTCTGGAAGGACTTGAAAACTCCATCACCTCAGGGTCACTAGATGAGGAGAAGAGCACAGGGGTTCCAGAGTCTCTGAAGGATAGAGGATCCACTAAACAAAAACAAGGATGCAGGTACCTGCCATAGCTATAGGCACTAGGTTACTCCTGCAAGTAATTCTGGCTTCCCAATGTGGATGGGTCATGTGATGACTAGGAGAGTCACATGACACAGGAAGTGAGGCAATTGCAGCCATATTTCTAAAGGGCAATTGGCTTCCTCCGAGTTGTTACAGATTATACACCCTATAAAATTCTGGAGGGTATATGTGAATGACAACTTTAGGAAGAGCCTAGAATACGAAAGACAGACTTGGATGGAGAATCGGGTAAAGATTCCTAAATCCCAGAGGATGGGAACCACAGCAGGCACGCTGCTTTTTTGATAAAAATTTCAAAATGATACAAATAAAGCTAATACCAAAAAAAAAACAAAGAACAAAAACAAAAAAACCTTCATTGCACAACATGCTGAGGCTACCGTGATGTTTAAGACACAGTCTTTGCCCTATAGAGGTGCATGAAGCATGGAAGTCAGACACAGATATTTACAGGTAAAAACAGAAACAGTAACAGGTGTGCATGGAGAGCTCTCTGAGATGAGGAGGGACCATTCGTGGGTGGGGAATTATCCAGGATGCCTTCAACACAGGAAAAAGTGAGGGGGGTTATTAGCCAGTGAAGTGTAGGGCGCAAGGAGGGTGGGACACTGGCAGTGGGGTGGCAGGACTGGAGGGAGGGGAGTGGTCAGCTTGGCTCCCCTGCAGCACCCCTCATTTACTCATTAAGGGCCTCGGAGAGTCACATGACACAGGCAGTGAGGCAATTGCAGCCATATCTCTAAAGGGCAATTGGCTTCCAGATGCAGATTGTAATAACTGTTCTTCCTTCCTCACAGGACAGTGAGGTTTTAAAGTAGTTCAGAAACCAGAAAGTGTTGTAAAAGGCCATATGCTTAGTGGACATGTGAAGGAAGTTGTCCATGCCATTTGCCTCATGAACCACATCAAATGAGATTTGGTGGGAGTGGCACACACAGTCATGACCAGACTAACCCCAGCTCTCAGCCTATTTCCTCACCTAGAAAATGGAGGCAATGCCACAACCTCAAAGGGGTCAGTGAGGTAAATGCAGTGCCTGGCAACTTGGGAGGCGCCTGGGAACTATTTGTCTGTTGTTTGTATCTTTTTTTGTACAGTTTTAGTGAGACGGCAAGGTTGGAATCCTTGCTACACCATTTACTGGCTGTTTGACCTTCAGTAAATCAATCACTCTAAGCCTCTATTTCATCTATAAAAGGGGAGTGATAACTCCTACCTCATAGAACTGTTGTGAGGTTTGAGTGTGATAATGTGTCTCTAGTACACTGCTTGACACTAAACATTGCAACATGTCAGGCCTCTGTTCCTGGAGTTCCTTGAAGGAATGTCTTACACATTCTAAATATCCTTGTAGACAGCCTGGCACAGGGGTAGTTGTCAAGTTGTAGAATTGAACTAGTTGCTTCACTATGTCAGTAGCCACCCCTTCCAGACTTCCTGCTTTTCTCTTTTTTTTTTGTTTTTTTGAGATGATGTCTCACTCTGTCACCCAGTCTGGAGTGCAGTGGCCGATCTCAGCTCACCGCAACCTCTGCCTCCCAGGTTCAAGCAATTCTCCTGCCTCAGCCTCCCAAGTAGTTGGGACTACAGGCACGCACCACCACGCCCGGCTAATTTTTGTATTTTAGTAGAGATGGGGTTTCACCATGTTAGCCAGACTGGTCTCAATCTCCTGACCTCAGGTGATTCGCACACTTTGGCCTCCCAAAGGGCTGGGATTACAGGCGTGAGCCACAGCACCCGGCCTGACTTCCTGCTCTTCAAGGAAACGTTGCACAGGATTTGTTCTGGGTAGGGCAGGTAATTATCTAGTACCTTACTTCCCTCAAATTCATTCATCTCACAGATATTTCCTGAGCACATTCCACATTTGCCTCTCCTGCTTTAGCGAGTTTAGAAGTTCAACCATCTCCTTTCTCTTACCCTCTGTGTACAGGGAGTGAGCTGCTTCTTTTTTGGCCAGGTACTGAGCAAAATTTTTTTTTTTTTTGAGACGGAGTCTTGCTCTGTCTCCCAGGCTGGAGTGCAGTGGCACGATCTCGGCTCACTGCAAGCTCCGCCTCCCGGATTCACGCCATTCTCCTGCCTCAGCCTCCTGAGTAGCTGGGACTACAGGCGCCTGCCACCACACCCGGCTAATTTTTTGTATTTTTAGTAGAGACAGGGTTTCACTATGTTAGCCAGGATGGTCTCCATCTCCTGACCTCGTGATCTGCTGGCCTCAGCTTCCCAAAGTGCTGGGATTACAGGCGTGAGCCACCACGCCCAGCCTAGTGTCTGTATTTTTTGTAGAAATAGGGTCTTGCTATGTTGTGCAGGTTGGTCTCAAACTCCTAAACCCAAAGGATCTCCTGCCTCGGCTTTGCAGAGTTCTAGGATTACACGCACAAGGCACCATGCCCGCCCCTCTTTTCTTCTTTTTATACTTCATTTTGTAAAATTTTTCCAGGGTGGCTGGGCACGGTAGCTCATGCCTATAATCCCAGCACTTTGGGAGGCTGAGGCAGTGGATAGCTTGAGGACAGGTGTTCATGGCCAACATGGCAAAATCCCATCTGAAATGAAAATACAAAAATTAGCTGGGTGTGGTGGTGCACGCCTGTAATCCCAGCTACTTGGGAAGCTGAGGTACGAGAATCACTTGAACCCAGGAGTCAGAGGTTGCAGAGACCCAAGATTGTGCCACTGCACTCCAGCCTGGGAGACAGAGTAACACTCTGTTTCAAAAAAAAAAAATTTCCAAGGTGGATATTATTTCACATTTCATATTTCCTGTACAATGTGATTTGTCCTTGAGGATTTTCTATTTTATTTTCTAAGTAAAGTTAGTTTTAATAAGGACTAATGTTTATTGTGCCAAAGACAAAATTACAACAAATTTAACGATCTCGACTGGATTCCTTCCTTCCTGCCTTCCTTCCTTCTTTTCTCCTCTTCCCTCCCCTCCCCTCTCTTCTCTTTTTTCTTTCTTTCCCTCCCTCCCTCCCTCCCTCCCTTCCTCCCTTCCTCCCTTCCTTTCTTTCTTTCGACGGAGTCTTGCTCTTTCACCCAGGCTGGAGCACAGTGGCTTGATCTTGGCTCACTGCAAACCCCGCCTCCTGGGTTCAAGCGATTCTCCTGCCTCAGCCTCCCGAGTACCTGGGATTACAGACGCACACCACCATGCCTGGCTGATTTTTGTATTTTTAGTCAAGACGGGGTTTTACCATGTTGGCCAGGCTTGTCCCAAACTCCTGACCTCAGGTGATTCACCCGCCTCGGCCTCCCAAAGTCCTGAGATTACAGGCATGAGCCACCATGCCCGGCCCTGATTGGGCTTTTTCTACAAAAAATTCTTGTGAAACTTTTCTGCAATATTTTATAATAAAGTCCTACTGATTTATATTTGATTTTATATTTGTAAGTCAGGTGAAATGAGTGAATTCTTCCTTGTGTATGAATGTACTACATGTTGCAGAATGTCTACCTTTCCTGGGCTCCATCCACTAAATTCTCAAAGTGCCTCCTAATCATTGTCTCTATTAAAGATGCCCCACAAATTTCCAAAATGCCCCTAGGGTGTGCCTGAGAGCCACTACCCTAGGTGCCTCTCTTCAAACACCTAGGCCTCACTGCAGTGGCCAATAGGGGCATACTAGGTGGCCACAATCACGTTCCTCTGTCCCCTTTGTATAGCACTTGAAAAAGAGTTTGCTAAGGCCTGGTACGGTGGCTCATGCCTGTAACCCCATCATTTTAAGAAGCTGAGACAAGAGGATCCCTTGAGGCCAGGAGTTCAAGACCAGCCTGGGCAACATAGAGAGACTCCGTCTTTACAAATATATATATATATTTATTTATTTATTTTTATTTTTTTTGGTAGAAAAGGGGTCTCCAGTGGCCGGGCGCAGTGGCTCATGCCTGTAATCCCAGCACTTTGGGAAGCTGAGGCGGGCAGATCACGAGGTCAGGAGATGGAGACCATCCTGGATAACACAGTGAAACCCTGTCTCTACTAAACCCCATCTCTATTAAAAATACAAAAAATTAGCCGGGCATGGTGGTGGGCACCTGTAATCCTAGCTACTCGGGAATCTGAGGCAGGAGAATCGTTTGAACCCGAGGTGGATGTTGCAGTGAGCCGAGACGCGCCACTGCACTCCAGCCTGAGTGACAGAGCAAGACTCTGACTCAGAAAAACAAGCAAACAAAAAAAGACAGCTATATACCTAGGGAAGACATAAATATAAGTGAAAAGCAGAAGTACAAAAATAGTTCGGCTGACCCAGCAGCAATTTTGATCCCATCCCAGCAAGACCTGTCTTGGAGTGTAGGTCTGGCTCAGATAGCAAACTCCAGCCCTTTCACACTGACAGGTATCATATCACAGGCTCCTAGGTCTTTAGGTCCCATGGAGAGTGCCACTCCCAGTTCCACTGTTAGTTACTTCTATGGTCTGTGTTCAAGTCAAATAAAGACATTTGTTCATTCCATGCACAGCACAGAGTAGGTGCTCAAAAAAGTACTTTTTATACAGATGAATGAACAACTACTACCAGTTAACCTAGAACCTGTCCTTTCAGCTCTAGTTTTTAATTGTAATTTTATTTTATTTTAGAGACAGGGTCTTGGCACAATCACAATTCACTGCAGCTTTGACCTCTCAGGCTCAATTGGATCCTCCCACCTCAGCCTCCATAGTAGCTGGGACTACAGGTACATGCCACCATGCCCAACTAATTTTTGAAATTTATTTTTAGAGATGGGGTCTTGCTATGTTGCCCAGGCTGGTCTCGAATTCCTGAGGTCAAGCAATCCACCTGCCTCAGCCTCCCAAGGTGCTGGGATTATAGGCGTGAGCCATCACTCACCTCTAGTTTCTGGCCTGAGGGTATATTACTCTCCCTGATTACTGACACCAAAAATGATTTCACTCTTGGGTGGGACCTCTGCTGCCCCTTACCCACTAGGGTGTGGGTTTTTTTGGTTTGTTTTTGTCTTTTTTAAGACAGGGCCTCACACTGTCATCCAGGCTGGAATGCAATGGTGTGATCCTGGCTCACTGCAGCCTCGACCACCTGGGCTCAAGGGATCCTCCCACCTTAGCCTCCTGAGTAGCTGGGACCAGAAGTGCACACCACCACACCAAGCTAATTTTTTAACTTTTTATAGAAACAGGTTGCCTAGACTGGTATCGAACTCCTGAGCTCAAGCAATCCTCTTGCCTTGGTTTCCCAAAGTGCTGGAATTACAGGCGTGAGCCACTGAGTCTGACCTTAGGGTGTGGTTTTACCATTGGATTCATGTGATTTACCAATGCTTCAACAGTAACCACAACATTCAATGTACAGCCCAGTGCAGATGGAAGGTCCTTGTACCTCATGATCTCTTCCAATTTTTCGCAAGATAATAGTCAGTCTTTCATGAGTGCTTATTACATGCACTAGCCTGACAACTCTACATTACAGATAAGAAAATTAAGACTTAGAGGCCAGACGCGATGGCTCACACCTGTAATCCCAACACTTTGGGAGGCCGAAGCGGGCGGATCACAAGGTTAGGAGATCGAGACCATCCTGGCTAACACGGTGAAACCCCGTCTCTACTAAAAATACAAAAATTTAGCCAGGCGTGGCGGTGTGCGACTGTAGTCCCCGCTACTCGGGTGGCTGAGGCAGGAGGATGGCGTGAACCCGGGAGGCGGAGCTTGCAGTGAGCCAAGATCGTGCCACTGCACTCCAGCCTGGGTGACAGAGCGAGACTCCATCTCAAAAAAAAAAAAAAAGAAAAGAAAACTAAGACTTAGAGAAGTTAAATATGTGGCAGAGTGAAGCCTAAGCTCATATCTGTCCTAATCTAAATTCCAAGCAGTTCTGAGTCATCAGGTCACACAGACTGCTTCTCACATGCTTCAGGAATGCCTTTTCAGTCTTCCTTAAAGGTTGCAAACAGTTGCAAAGCAAATTTCATGGTTCCTGTTTCTTCAAAATCTCAAAGCTCTTCATTCAGCCAGGCATGGTCGCTGGAGCGTGTATATTCAACCACTTGAGAAGATGAGGATCTTTTGAGCCCAGGAGTTTGAGACGAACCTGGGCAACATAGGGAAAGCCCTGTCACCTAAAAAAATAAATAATACAACCAGCTCTTCATTTAGAGGCAAGCACAAAATAGGTGCTCAATGTTTGTTGAATGAGTGAGTTGTTACCAACCATACCCCACTATTCAAGGTCCTGCTTGTCAGTGTTTCAGGAAGTGTTCTTGGCAAAGGAGTGGTGAACTTCAGGAAGAATGATGCTGACTCCGAACACAATTATTTATTTATTTATTTATTTATTTATTTATTTACTTATTGAGACAGAGTCTCGCTCTGTAGCCCAGGCTGGAGTGCAATGACGTGATCTCCGCTCACTGCAACCTCTGCCTCCCAGGTTCAAGCAATTCTCCTGCTTCAGCCTCCCAAGTAGCTGGGATTACAGGCGCCCGCCACTACGATCGGAGAATGTTTTGTATTTTTAGTAGAGACAGGGTTTCGCCATGTTGGACAGGCTGGTCTCAAACACCTGACCTCATGTGATCCACCCACCTCGGCCTCCCAAACTGCTGAGATTACAGGCTTGAGCCAGTGTGCCCAGCCTGAACACAATTATTAAAGTCAAAGTGAGACCTAACAGTGGAACTTTGGTTGCGGCTACAGGAAATATGGATTCAAATACTGAACACCAGCTGGGCACAGTGGCTCACGCCTACAATCCTAGCACTTTGGGAGGCTAAGGTAGGAGGACAGCAGAGCCCAAGAGTTCGAGACAAACCTGGCCAACATGGTAAAACGAAAAAATTAACCAGGCATGGTGATGCACACCTGTAGTCTCAGCTGAGGTGGGAGGATCGCCTGAATTGAGGTAGTGGAGGCTGCAGTGAGCTGTGTTCCTGCCACAGCACTCCAGCCTGAGCAACAGAGCAAGACCTTGTCTCTAAATAAATAAACACAACAAAAATAAAACAAATACTGAGCCAGGTGTGGTGGCTCCTGCCTGTAATCTCAGCACTTTAGGAGGCTGAGATGGGCAGATCACTTGAAGTCAGGAGTTCGAGACCAGCCTGGACAACATGATGAAATCTCTACTAAAAATACAAAAATTAGCTGGGACTGATGGCGCTAATCCCTGCTACTCAGGAGGCTGAGGCAGAATTGCTTGAACCTGGAAGGCGGAGGCTGCAGTGAGCCAAGATCACCCCCACTGCTCTGGGTTGCAGTGAGCCAAGATCACACCACCTGGGTGACAGAGCAAGACTGCATCTCAAAAAAAAAAAAAGAAAGAGAAAAGAAAAGAAAGAGAGAGAGAGAGAAGGAAGGAAAGAAAGAAAGAAAAAGAAAAAGAAAGAAAGAAAGAAAGAGGAAGAAAGAAAAATAAAAGCATAGAGAGTGCTGGAGCAGTGTGAGTGAGATGGATAGTGGTAAAAGGTGACCTTGGAAAAGGAAATTGGGAGGCCAGATTGTGTAGGGTCTTGGTGGCCATGGTAAGGAGTCTGAATTTTGTTCTAAGATGGAAATTCACTGTAGAGTTTGGTGCTGGGAAGTGACAAGATCACATGTGTATTTTTAAGAGATCACTTTGGGTGCTGTGTAGAAATCAGACTGTAGGAGTCAAGTGTGGAGGGAGACCAGCATCCAATTACAGCCTGCCATGAACTTGCCAGGTTCCTCTTCCCTTCCTTCAGCACACACTACTCTTTCCCACCGCTTAGCCTAGTTAACACTTATTCTTTCAAAATTAGCCCGGATGTCACTTTCTCTAAGAACAACCGCGCCCCCTGCCGCCTCCCCACCTCACACACCTCCTCTAACGCAAACTCATAGCCCTCACAACTTCTTTGTCACTTTTTCTCCCCCTTTTTTTGAGACAGGATCTCGCTCTATTCCCCAGGCTGGTCTCGAACTCCTGGGCTCAAAAGATCCTCCCGCCTCAGCCACCCGAATAGCTCCTTTGTCGCTCTTATCACTGTTGTGATTAATTGTACAAATGGCTTAATGGCAGTTATAGCGCCCAGCTCATCAAAGGCAGTGGCCTGCCAATCGTCAGCGGGCAGGGCAGGGACCAGTCCAGTCCATCCTGGCTCCCATGTGCAGCCCCAGTGCGCATCGCGACACCGGCGCTCGTTGCCGCGCTCCGTGAACGTTTGTCACATGTCCGAAGAATGAATGAATTATATACCTTTCTTCCCACTCCAGCCCTCAAAAAGCAAGTGGATACAAAGACTTGAAGATTTTATAATCGCTTCATTAGTAAAATTTGACCATCCTTACCATTAAAAATAATGATAATGATGAAAAAGGCTAAGTGCGAACGCCGGGAGGGGAGAGCTAAAATTCAAAGGGCGAAATATTTATAATGCCTACCGTCGGCGAAGAGAAACAGCAGCCCCAACCGAAGGCAAAAGGAAATCCCACCGCAGCCTCCAAAGGCGCGTGGGCGGGACTGGAGAATGGGGCCCCGCGCACTAGGCGCGGAAGTCAAGAAGCAGCCCCACCACCCGTGCCGCGAGAAAAGCAGCCCTGGGGAGGCGGGGCGGGGCCTCACTTGGAAAAGAGACGGTCACTCATCCAGAGGCGGGACTCAGAGCCCCTCCACAAGTCTCATTGGTCCATTTGAAGACGGACAACTCTCCCTGACCATCCGTAGCACAGATGGGGCGCAAGCGTATTGGAAAGGGAGCGGGTGCCAGACGCGAGAACTACGCATGCGTCTCAGCGCTTTCCCGCCAGCACACCCTTAGTGGGTGGGGGGGGCGATTGAATTCCCACAGTGAGTCCAGCCCACCGAAGCTCAGAGGATTCCTAACCTTCCTCTTCAGAGAGCCTCAGGTTAGGGAACGTCCAGTGCCCAAAAGCTGCCCTGTGGGAATCCCATTGTCCACCGCCTCTTACCTAATGTTTCGTTCTGGCCTTGCCCCATCTCTTCCTGAGGCTGGGTTGTTACGATGGTGAATTATTCAAGATGTCTTGCAGCCTGACGCCATCTCTGGGCAGTGCTCCTGCATCGTCCCTGTCTTCCTTGGGAGGGCACCACGTTGCTCTTACAAGCACAGGGTCCTGAAACTGTTTACAAGGCCCCACTCTGCCACGTTAGTATCTTAACGAGTGTTTGTTGAGGAAGCACTGTGTGTTAGACCCAGTGCAATGAGCAAGTCCCTGATCTTGTGACCTTACATTCTACAGGACGACACAAACGTATAAACAAAAAATAATTTTAGATAGTGATACATGCTTAAAACATGGCTATGTGGCCGGGAGCAGTGGCTCACGCCTGTAAATCCAACATTGTGGGAGGCTGAGGCAGGTGGATCACTTGAGGTCAAGGAGTTCGAGACCAGCCTGGCTAACATGGCAAAACCCCGTCTCTACTGAAAATACAAAACTTAGTCAGGCGTGATGGCAGACACCTGTAATCCCAGCTACTCGGGAAGCTGAGGCAGGAGAATCGCTTGAACGCAGGAGATGGAAGTTTGCAGTGAGCCCAGATCACACCACTGCACTCCAGCCTGGGTGAGAGAGCCAGACTGTATCTCAAAAAAAAATAAAATAAAATAAAATAAAGCTATGTGATAGAATGACTGCGATGGGGATTAGGTCCTCACTGAAATGGTGAGAGTGGAGTTAAAACCTGAAATTAGGTGACAGCACCAGATATATCTGCCCGAGGGTTTCGTGCTTGGAAAATAGCAGGTGCAAACGTCCTTGTGCTGTGAGGAAATTTGGCTGGAACAGAAGGTGGGCCAGATTGTAGCTGACCATAGTCTCTGAGAGCTTGGAGATGATTCTAAATACAATGGGAAGCCATTAAATTGAGGCAGAGCCTTGATGTGACGTGCTTTATCATCATTTTGCTGAGTGGAGAATGGATTGCTGGGAAAAGTGAAAGATTGATTCAGAGGTTGTGGAGAGAGGGTGGCTGGAACTAGGTAGCTGGGGAGGTGGTGGGACGTGGATGAATTCAAGATAGGATTGGTTGTGTTGGATATGGGAAAAGAAGTCACCATGGTTCCTGGGCTTTTGGAATGTGCAAATGGGTAATGGAGGTGCCATTGAGATGGGAACAGTGGAAAAATAACCGGTGCTGGGGTGGGAATGAAGAGCTCAGTTGTGTGGCCGGGCGCAGTGACTCACGCCTGTAATTCCAGCACTTTGGGAGGCCGAGGCAGGGGGATCACCTGAGGTCAGGATTTGCAGACCAGCCTGGTCAATATGGCAACACCCTGTCTCTACTAAAAATACAAAAACATTAGCCGGGTAGCGGGGCCTATAATCCCATCTACTCGGGAGGCTGAGGCAGGAGAATCGCTTGAACCCTGGAGGCAGAGGTTGCAGTGAGCCAAGATCTCGCCATTGCACTCCAGCCTGGGCAACAAGAGCAAAACTCTGCCTAAAAAAAAAAAAAGAGTTCAGTTAGTTCAGTTGTGGCCATGTTGAATTTGAAATACTCATTAGACATCCAACCAGATATGCTGAGTTGGATGGCGCTCAAGAGAGGTCAAGGCTGGAGTTATGCATTAACACATAGAAAGATGGTACTTAAAGCCATGGACGTTAGTAGTAGGGCCACCTACAGAAAGAGTGGAAGTAGAAAAGAGGGCTTACGGTGGGCAATGTGGTTCACGCCTCTAATCCCAGCACTTTGGAAGGTCAAGGCAGGCACATCATTTGAGGTCAGGAGTTTGAGACCATCCTGGACAACATGGTGAAACCCCGTCTCTACTAAAAATACAAAAACTAGCCGGGTGTGGTGGCATGCACCTGTAGTCCCAGCTACTCAGGAGGCTGAGGCAGGAGAATCGCTTGAACCCAAGAGGCGGAGGTTGCAATGAGCCAAGATTGCACTGTTACACTCCAACCCGGGTGACAGAGCAAGACTCCATTTAAAAAAAAAAAAATTGATGGCCGGGTGCAGTGGCTCATGCCTGTAATCCCAGCACTTTGGGAGGCCGACGCAGGCAGATCACGAGGTCAGCAGATCGAGACCATCCTGGCTAACAAGGTGAAAACCTGTCTCAACTAAAAATACAGAAAATTAGCCAGGCATGGTGACAGGCACCTGTAGTCCCAGCCACTCAGGAGGCTGAGGCAGGAGAATCGCTTGAACCTGGGAGGCGGGGGTTGCAATGAGCCGAGATCGCACCATGCACTCCAGCCTGGCAAAAGAGCAAGACTCCATCTCAAAAAAATAAATAAAATAAAATAAAAATGACGGCTGGGAGCAGTGGCTCACGCCTGTAATCCCAGCATTTTGGGAGGCTGAGGTGGGCAGATCACGAGGTCAGGAGATCGAGACCATCCTGGCTAACATGGTGATACCCTGTCTCTGTTAAAAATACAGAAAATTAGCCAGGCATGGTGGCAGGCACCTGTAGTCCCAGCTACTCGGGAGGCTGAGGCAGGAGAATAGCATGAACCTGGGAGGCAGAGCTTGCAGTGAGCCGAGATCGTGCAACTGCACTCCAGCCCGGGCAACAGAGCAAGACTCCGTCTCAAAAAAATATATAAAAAATAAAATAAAAGAAAAAAAACAAAAACAAAGAAGGCTTACGTGAGACCCTTGGGGCCCTCTACTGTTAACCAGTTCAGGAGAGGTGTAAAAGTTTGTAAAGGATAACCAGAGCACAAAGTAGAAGAGCAATGTCCTCAAAGGGAAAAATTCAAGAAGATGCTGATTATGGAGATTAATTGCTGCTTCAAGGTCAAGTGAAATGCAGGCAGAGAAATGGTCACTGGGTCTGACACCACTTTTGGTCACTCAAATTTTGGTCAGAGCAGTGGCTGAAGAAACACAGGGGAAGGAGTCTGATGGGGGTGGGTGATAAGAGAATGGATGTTTAAGTGTGGAGGGAAGAAAAAGAAAACCTATTGCTATGAAAAGGAGCAGAGATAGAATTCGTGGTTGGAAAGTGTGTCTTGAAAGTTTCTTTTTTCTTAAAAGTTTCTTGTGCACCATATAGCACAAGATCAGCAACCCCTGGCAGAGCCCTTCAGGTACCCAGTATCCCTTGGGGGTGAGGAAGGGTGTGTACAAGAGGAGAAGCAGGAGATAGGCAGGAATGTGTTGCAACTACGTATGGATAGGCAGCTAAGGTCCTGGTTGGTATACTTTTCTCTCAGTATCAGGAACCCTGCCTGCCCTTTGGACCAGTCATGGAGAGGTCACCTCAGTACCACACAAGATCATCACCCACCTTCAAAAAGAGGTGGGTGATTTGGATAGAGGGGGCTGCCAGTGAGAGAAGTTCAGTCAATTCTGTACAATACACATTTATTGAGCACTAGATATATGCCATGCTAGATGCAGGTGACCCAGAGCATCAAGGAGCAATAGTCTGGTGGCAGAGACACACACAATGTCACTGTGATGTATTAAAGCAGTCAGCAAGAGATGCAGCTCAGGGCACTGTGGGGATATCCAGAGGCACAGTACCTTCTGCCTGTCAGTCAGGGAGGGAGAGGAGCACAGGCTGAAGGAGACTGGAAGACAGCAGTTGGCCTCTGATAGTGGGACTGGAGAGAGATTTCTAAGGGCCACTTCTTGTTTTCAGGGACTAGGTTGGGCTAGATATGGGGCTCAGGATGGACAAGGCTTAGAGCCAGGTTGGAGAAGATGAAAGAGCATTACTAGAGGAGTGGGGAGGCCTAGGCTATGCTCTTTACTCTGCCATTGACTGCGTGATCTTGGGCAGGCCATGTAACCTCTCAGGGCTGTGCACTCCCTTATTTGTAAAACTAGAGGGCTGGGCCAGCATGTTTTCCAAGGGTTCTTCTAGCATTGACGGTCAGGTTCCAAGAGGGAACACAGTGTCAGAAGTGGGACACTCTTCCTAATTTCTAATTTCCCAAAGGTTAAGGACCTGGGGAATTAATTGAGAGGCCTGGAAAGAGGATCCAGATAAAAGCCTAAGTTCCTGGCAAGGCCAGGGCCACTGCCCTGATTGCTTAGGTGTGAACAGAGCTTTTTGTTTCCGAAGTATTCTAAATTATTTCCTAACACAGGGGCATTCAGAGAAAGAGATTCTTACCCCCATTCCACAGGGGAGAAACTGAGGCTTAGGGAGATTTAAGGATCATGCTGAAGAGGTTATCTGGGGACAAAGCTTACTCAGGATGTGGTGGGGGATGCTGAGGAACAGGGACTGGAGCCTGGGAAGGTAGGGCAGGCTGAGACCTGGGGGTATGGGTGGAATGTGTATGTGGTAATGGTGTCTGGGCGATGGAATGAAGTGAAAGAAATAGCCAAGAGCTGGGCACTGAGGGAACAAGCTGGGGGGCCCTGGGCGTGGGTTCCCTGGATCCAGGGAGTGTGAGGATGGCTTTCCCTGGTTCCTGAGGCATGGACCGAGTCCTAGCCTGCATCTGAGCTCCGTTGTGCTAGCTTTGTGGTGTCTGGGTCGGGAAAGTTACTGTTAGAAAGTTGCTGTCAGCAGGCATTGTTCCAGCTTTCCATGGAAATTCTGGGAGCTGCTCCTAGTTTGCGGCCCAACCTTTCTTCCTTCTTCTCAATGGGCCCAGGACCTTGACGGCCAGCGGGCTCCAAGGCCCAGGCTTTTTGCCAACAGCAACAGGCTACTGGCTGGGCCCAGGCAAGGGGGCCTTGGCAGGAAAAGTTCCTTGCTGTACCTCCACTGCACTCAGAGGCCAGTGAGGGGGGTACCAGACAGGACTCCTTCCTCCCTGGTGAAGTGCCCTTGCAGCTCCCCAGCGTCCACGCCATGGATATTTCCTCCACAGAAGTACAATGCTGATTATGATCTGTCAGCTCAGCAAGGGGCAGACACCCTGGCCTTCATGTCTCTCCTGGAGGAGAAGTTGATCCCGGTGCTGGTGAGTGTGCCCAGACCTCCCAGCATCCATGGCCAGCCGGGGAGGGGACGGGCACACACAGACCCACACAGAGACTCAGGAGAGCATGGAGGTCAGAAGCCCACCTTGAATCAGACAGGTGCACTGGCTCAGACCTGCCTGTTTCTTCCTGCCCACCCAATCCAGGTACATACTTTTTGGATAGACACCAAGAACTACGTAGAAGTGACCCGGAAGTGGTATGCAGAGGCTATGCCCTTTCCCCTCAACTTCTTCCTGCCTGGCCGCATGCAGCGGCAGTACATGGAACGGCTACAGCTGCTGACTGGGGAGCACAGGCCTGAGGACGAGGAAGAGCTGGAGAAGGAGGTAGCTCTGAGACCGGGGGCTATTGTATGAGATGAGCCCCAAGGATGCTGGCCAGGAATGGGAGTGCTTAGGTGCAGAGGTGGCACTGTTCCCGCAGCTGCAAGCCTACCTGTGTCGCCCCTACAGCTGTACCGAGAGGCTCGGGAGTGTCTGACCCTGCTCTCTCAGCGCCTGGGCTCTCAAAAGTTCTTCTTTGGAGATGCGTGAGTCTGACTCCAAGAGGGTAATGGGTGGCTTGGAAGAAGATACAGGTTCAGATGGAGCAGCTGGAGCTGGGGCTGGGGCTGGGGCTGGCTCAGGCTCTGGATAGGAGGTCCCTGAGACAGATACTGGCCCTGGTGACAGTGGGGCTGTGCGTGGGGCCAGAGCCTTCTCAGAGGTACAAAAGGGTAGGGTGGGAGGGCAGCCAGGCACAGGAAGGGCCTGAAGAGCTGTGGGGCACTGAGTGTGCCCTTTATGCAGCCCTGGGATAGAGCCCTATTCAGGGCCAGGCTGGCGCCACCTGGGGATCTCTCCCCATACCAGGTCTAGAACTGTGTGTCCTGTCCTTCCCTGGTGGCCGCCTGCTGCCCAGAGCCCACCTCCCAAGGCTGACTCTTCCTCCAGCTCCATCTTTACCCCTTCTACCCCAGTGGTTCTCCTCCATCCCACCCTTCTCTCTCTGCTCCAGCCCTGCCTCCTTGGACGCCTTCGTCTTCAGCTACTTGGCCCTGCTGCTGCAGGCAAAGCTGCCCAGTGGGAAGCTGCAGGTCCACCTGCGTGGGCTGCACAACCTCTGTGCCTATTGTACCCACATTCTCAGTCTCTACTTCCCCTGGGATGGAGGTAAGGGGCAGATGGGAGGGGCAGCCCTGGGGAGAGTGGGCAGGGATCCAAGAACTAGTTCTCCTAACACACCTTCCTTCCTTGACCCTCAGCTGAGGTACCACCGCAACGCCAGACACCAGCAGGCCCAGAGACTGAGGAGGAGCCATACCGGCGCCGGAACCAGATCCTATCTGTGCTGGCAGGACTGGCAGCCATGGTGGGCTACGCCTTGCTCAGCGGCATTGTCTCCATCCAGCGGGCAACGCCTGCTCGGGCCCCAGGCACCCGGACCCTGGGCATGGCTGAGGAGGATGAAGAGGAATGATTTGTCCTCACGCTCCCAAGACTGGTTTTTCTACTCTCATGCATTCCAGAGGCCCCCGTGCCTCCTCGTTGTTGGTACAGCCGGACACGGGGTGCTGCCACCCAGAATAAAGCCACTCACACTGACTGGGCTCAAACATTTTCTCCTTTAAGAGCTGCCATTTTTCCTGGCTGGTGCCATAGGAATCATCTGGGTGCCTGGGCACACCCGCTGCTGCTTTAAGGCTTCCGCCCTGATGCTGACACTGCTGCTCCACGGGCCCAGTTCTGCATCTCCAGGAAAGACAAACAGTCTCCAGTTTTGGGCCCAGCTTTCCTAGTCTCTTCTTTTCCTTACCCTCAGCCCTGATCTTGTGTTTGTACGGACAGTGAGCTCACCCTAGGCCTGGACCCAGGCCCAGTTTCCAAAGCAAGCAGCACACAGCGCATGTTCACATAAGCATGGGGGCTGGGGGGACACTGGGGCTTACTGATCTTTTTCTAGGGGCCTCCAGCCCCTGGCACCACCTAGAGGGGAAAGTGAGTCACCCAAACCATTGCCCCTGGGCTTACGTCGCTGTAAGCTCACACTGGCCCTGCTGTGCCCTCTTTAGTCACAGACAGCGTGTGAGCTGACTCTGTCCCTTTAATGCCCAGGCTGAGCCCAGTGCCTCCTTGAGTATCTGCTCCATCACTGGCGACACCACAGGTAGGTGTGAATGGAGTAGCCAGGTGAGATTGTCTCCAGGAAGCCCACAGCAGGATCCTTGATGGTAAGAGGCACATCCTTAGAGGAGCTAGGGAGCAGGGAGGAGAAGCTGAGAGTGTGATCCTGCCAAGGCCCCCAACGCTGTCTTCAGCCCACTTCCCAGACCTCACCATTGCCCTCACCGGTTTAGCACGACCACAACAGCAGAGCCATCGGGATGCATCAGTGCCACTGCGTCCAGGTCGTTCTTCTGACTGGCAACCAGCCCCACTCTCTGGGAGCCCTCAGGAATGAACTTGCTGAATGTGGGAACAGATGGTCAGAGTCCCTCGGGGTACCTCCCATGAAACCCTCATCTAAGAAGTCACCCACCCACGGACCCACCCCATAACTCCTGCAGAGGCTCTGCCCTGGCTCTCTAGGCCTGGAGCCATGCTGCTGGGCACTGACCCTGCTTTTCTGCATCGCAGTCCAGCCTCAGGCATTGGGGTTTTCTGTTGCTACCTAGTCACTTCCTGCCTCCATGGCGCAAAAGGGGATGGGTGTGCCTCTTCCGAGGTTCCACCCTGAACACCTTCCTGCTCCCTCGTGGTGTAGAGTGATGTAAGCCATCCGATGTAGGAGATGATAGGCCTGGTATGGAATGGGGGTGCCCGCCCTCCACTCACCTGAAGTGGCCAAGGTGGTAGAACATGGGCTGTTTGTAAAACGTGTGCTTGGTGATGTCTACAATGATGGGTTCCAGTCGGTCCAGCCGACCACATGGTACAGGAGGTTCTAGGGTAAGGACAAAGGCAAGGAGACAAAGGCGCAACACTGGGGGTCCCCAGAGAGTGTAGGTAAGGGTCACGTGTGGGAGAGGCAGCTGTGGGTAGGTCAGCCCTGTGAGGGGCACATTCCTTAGTAGCTAAGGAGTTGGGGGTGTGAAGATCCAGGCATCTCAAGGGGAGCTGAGAAGTCTGAGGCAGCTGCAAGTGCCTCAGTAGTTGCAAAAGGGGCAATGAGGTGTGCAGACCTGTGAAGGAAAGGCAAGACAGGGAATCATGGTTCCCCAGAGTTGCCCAAAAGGGCAGGCTACCTGGGGAAAGCTGGACAGGAAGGGCTTCTATCAGTCTTTGGTGAGACTACTAATGGGTCTGAGGTCTCCTTTGCAGGAAGGGAGACTGGGGTGGCTTACTGTGATGATGCTGTGGCTGTACTGCATCCCTCGATCCCAGGAGCCTAGCCGCACACTCTGCTCCCAGAACTTGGAACCCACACAGGCCTCTGAGGCAAAGAGCATGGTGTTGGGGAACAGGTGGTGTGTCTCCCTTAGGGTGGCTTTGGCTGGAGCCAGAAAGTCCAGGTACCAATGTACAGCAATACCATGAACATACTTAGCTGCTTCTGGGTCTGTCAGTACCTGCAAAGGAAGAACAAGTCACCCTGGACCCTGCCCACAGGCTTCTGGAACTTCTAGTTCCTCTTGTAGGAATCCTGAATTAGGTGGTGGGAAGAATGCAACTACAGAGGTTTTGGGAGGGATTTTTTGTTTTTGTTTTTGAGACAGGGTCTCCCTCTGTCACACAGGCTGGAGTACAGTGGCACAATCATAGCTCACTGCAGCCTGAAATTCTAGGCTCAACTAAACCTCCCGCCTTAGCCTCCAGAATACTTGGGACTATAGGCGTGCCACCACCACACCCGGCTAACTTTTCTATTTTTTTTTTTGTAGAGTTAGGGTTTCACCATGTTTCCCAGGCTCATCTTGAACTCCTTAGGTTCAAGTGATCCACCCACCTTGGGTTCCCAAAGTGCTGGAATTATAGCCATGAGCTACCACCCCCAGCCTAGAGAGGTTTCAAGTCCCAACTGTGGGATCCATGGCACCCTGGAGGTCCCGGGGAATGGTGCTCTAGGATCCATAGTTGGGTAGAAAAATCCCTCTAAGTTTGGGAGCCAATCATTTGGATGCTGGATTTGAAGGTCACTGGAGCACCATGGAGGTCCAGGCCTTACCACCTTTGCCCAGTGGGGCAGCAGCAAGCGTTGGTCATCCAGCATGAGTAGGCGGACATTGTGGTGAGTACCGTTGGCAAGGGTAGGACCTAGGTCACGGGCAATGAAGTCTCGCTGATGTTCAGGGGTGAAGCCCAGGCACTGGAAGGGGTATCCACTCAACAGCCCAGCAGAAGGCTCATTTTCAGCTGTCACTGCCCAGAACTGTATAACTTGTGCTCAGCATAGGCATCCAGGAACCTGGCAAGAGAAAGGTCATGAATGATCCAGCCAAGAAAGTGGGCCAGACCGAGAGAACAGGAAGCCTGATGGAGTGGGCAAGACTGACAGATCCAAGTTTGAAAGGCCCAGAAGGTAGAAAGGTGAGCTGAGGACAGGCAGATCTGGAAGTGGAACCAGGTTGAGGGTTGGGACACAGATCAGCATGGCCAAAGGGGAGGCCAGTCCTGATCCCACATCCTTGCTGATCCCTTACTTCACAATGTATCTGGCCCAGGTCTGGTGGTAGATGTCTCTGGGCTGTCCCTTGAGTGGCCCCTTCCCATTCCCCGCTCCCCTGGTCTTGAGCCGAGTGGGTGATGTCCAGGGGCTGGCAAGGAGTGAAACGGGACGCTGGGCCAACTGCAGGGCTCGGTGAATCAGGGGTATCTAGAGACAAAGGTAGTGAAGAGAGAAGCACCCAGAGTTGGAACACATACTAGCCCAACCAGTGCATCCGGTTCAGCCATTAGCCCCCACCCTCCCACCCCCAGGACAAAACAGCAGGGGACAAAATGTCTGTACAAGCAGACCTACCCTACAGTTTCTCAACCCCCAGACATCAGGGCCCTCAGGGCCTGAAAAAGCTAGAATGCCTACCTTGAGCTTGGTATCTTCCTCTGGGAGGCTGAAGTTGTGCAACTGGAAATCATCAGGGGTGTCTGCATAGGTGTAGGTGCGGATGGAGAAGTCACAGCTGGCCATGGGTACCCAGATGATGTTATATCCGATTCCTACAGAAAAGGATGATCAAGATATGGTAGTCCGAGTCAATAGGAGAGTATGGGACTCTGCTTATCACTTGCCAGTCCTAATAGTGTCTGAGTCAGGGCCAAAAGGAACTTGGGCTCCTGGGTTGGAACCTGTGGAGGCTGGCACCTGGGTGAAGCGCAGGCCTTTCTGAGCCTGAGTCCGTAGCAGTTAGCAGATGATAGGCGGCGAAATCTTATTTCACTGGCATTAAGACAGGAACCAAATGTCAGGGATGGGCAGAAGTCAGGGTCCAAAGAATTGGCAAAGAAAAGTGTCAGTGGCTCTATGTCATCCTGTCCCCTTCCTCCTCATCTTCTTCAGAGAAGTACCATTTAAGTAGCAAATTCTGGGCAGGGGGTGACAGGGCAAGGATGTTGAGGGCACCTGCATCTGTCACGGCCCCTCCAAATCCCTTCACTTTCTGGAACTTCTGGCTGCAGGATCAGTAGCAGGCCTGAGGACATCCACAGGGTTATCAGTGCCCAGGGGAGAAACTCCATGGTGATCACTGACACCGTTTACCTCTAGGAGGACCCAGCCTGGCCCGGGGGGTGAAGGGTGTAATGGTTACCTGTGCCGGTGCAATTAGCCTGTATGGTCCTGTACTCAGCTCCATCCAATGCCCACTGCTTCTGCTCTTGTAGCGGCTGAAGGCACCTAGGGCAGGAAAGGTCGGGGGGTCAAGAGTCACAGTATGTGGCATTGCAGACACAGACCACCGAGCTGTACTGAAGCTTTTAGGGATGCAGGGGCACCACCTGGGAGGGAGGGAGCACAAGCAGAGGTGAGGTCTGACAAGGATGTGGAGAACGGACACAGCTGTTTGGAGAGACTGAAGACGGTTTCAAAAATCCTCACCCCAAAGTTGGTCTCAGTCACTCAAAAGGATTTATTGAGCACCTACTAAAAGTCTACCACCAGCTTACTGGAAGGCTACCAAAGGACTATGAGGCAGAAGGGAGGCTCTGTGCTACCTCCCCACTGCCTTGACTCACTCATCTGATGCCCACGACACTGCCTGAAGTAGAAGCAATCCTGTGAGGCTGCCAGCCATGATGCTTACCCTACCCGAAGGCTTGGGACATTCCTGAGGACAGAATGAGGAATGACTGAAAAGCAAGTCCCTCTCCACCCCTCAACTACTCTCCCGGGCAGGGCTTAGCTGCCTTTGGGTGCCCATGGCCTGGTCTCCCACATTCATTAGGACAAGGCCCACAGACACCTGGGTGCAGCTCTCCCTGCAACCCTTCTGATGACAACTCTCTGCCCACCCCAAATCAGGATGCTCCCCACCACTCTTCCCACCCATTTCAACTTCGACCCCTCCCTCCATCTGTGCCTTGCTCAAAGAGCCATGATGGCCCTGGATTCAAAGAGAGTCTGTCATTCATTAAATTCCAGTGCCAGGATTCCAGAAGCACTGTGACAATGCTGATTGGGAGCTCTCTCTCTTACCTCTCTGGAAGGACTTGAAAACTCCATCACCTCAGGGTCACTAGATGAGGAGAAGAGCACAGGGGTTCCAGAGTCTCTGAAGGATAGAGGATCCACTAAACAAAAACAAGGATGCAGGTACCTGCCATAGCTATAGGCACTAGGTTACTCCTGCAAGTAATTCTGGCTTCCCAATGTGGATGGGTCATGTGATGACTAGGAGAGTCACATGACACAGGAAGTGAGGCAATTGCAGCCATATTTCTAAAGGGCAATTGGCTTCCTCCGAGTTGTTACAGATTATACACCCTATAAAATTCTGGAGGGTATATGTGAATGACAACTTTAGGAAGAGCCTAGAATACGAAAGACAGACTTGGATGGAGAATCGGGTAAAGATTCCTAAATCCCAGAGGATGGGAACCACAGCAGGCACGCTGCTTTTTTGATAAAAATTTCAAAATGATACAAATAAAGCTAATACCAAAAAAAAAACAAAGAACAAAAACAAAAAAACCTTCATTGCACAACATGCTGAGGCTACCGTGATGTTTAAGACACAGTCTTTGCCCTATAGAGGTGCATGAAGCATGGAAGTCAGACACAGATATTTACAGGTAAAAACAGAAACAGTAACAGGTGTGCATGGAGAGCTCTCTGAGATGAGGAGGGACCATTCGTGGGTGGGGAATTATCCAGGATGCCTTCAACACAGGAAAAAGTGAGGGGGGTTATTAGCCAGTGAAGTGTAGGGCGCAAGGAGGGTGGGACACTGGCAGTGGGGTGGCAGGACTGGAGGGAGGGGAGTGGTCAGCTTGGCTCCCCTGCAGCACCCCTCATTTACTCATTAAGGGCCTCGGAGAGTCACATGACACAGGCAGTGAGGCAATTGCAGCCATATCTCTAAAGGGCAATTGGCTTCCAGATGCAGATTGTAATAACTGTTCTTCCTTCCTCACAGGACAGTGAGGTTTTAAAGTAGTTCAGAAACCAGAAAGTGTTGTAAAAGGCCATATGCTTAGTGGACATGTGAAGGAAGTTGTCCATGCCATTTGCCTCATGAACCACATCAAATGAGATTTGGTGGGAGTGGCACACACAGTCATGACCAGACTAACCCCAGCTCTCAGCCTATTTCCTCACCTAGAAAATGGAGGCAATGCCACAACCTCAAAGGGGTCAGTGAGGTAAATGCAGTGCCTGGCAACTTGGGAGGCGCCTGGGAACTATTTGTCTGTTGTTTGTATCTTTTTTTGTACAGTTTTAGTGAGACGGCAAGGTTGGAATCCTTGCTACACCATTTACTGGCTGTTTGACCTTCAGTAAATCAATCACTCTAAGCCTCTATTTCATCTATAAAAGGGGAGTGATAACTCCTACCTCATAGAACTGTTGTGAGGTTTGAGTGTGATAATGTGTCTCTAGTACACTGCTTGACACTAAACATTGCAACATGTCAGGCCTCTGTTCCTGGAGTTCCTTGAAGGAATGTCTTACACATTCTAAATATCCTTGTAGACAGCCTGGCACAGGGGTAGTTGTCAAGTTGTAGAATTGAACTAGTTGCTTCACTATGTCAGTAGCCACCCCTTCCAGACTTCCTGCTTTTCTCTTTTTTTTTTGTTTTTTTGAGATGATGTCTCACTCTGTCACCCAGTCTGGAGTGCAGTGGCCGATCTCAGCTCACCGCAACCTCTGCCTCCCAGGTTCAAGCAATTCTCCTGCCTCAGCCTCCCAAGTAGTTGGGACTACAGGCACGCACCACCACGCCCGGCTAATTTTTGTATTTTAGTAGAGATGGGGTTTCACCATGTTAGCCAGACTGGTCTCAATCTCCTGACCTCAGGTGATTCGCACACTTTGGCCTCCCAAAGGGCTGGGATTACAGGCGTGAGCCACAGCACCCGGCCTGACTTCCTGCTCTTCAAGGAAACGTTGCACAGGATTTGTTCTGGGTAGGGCAGGTAATTATCTAGTACCTTACTTCCCTCAAATTCATTCATCTCACAGATATTTCCTGAGCACATTCCACATTTGCCTCTCCTGCTTTAGCGAGTTTAGAAGTTCAACCATCTCCTTTCTCTTACCCTCTGTGTACAGGGAGTGAGCTGCTTCTTTTTTGGCCAGGTACTGAGCAAAATTTTTTTTTTTTTTGAGACGGAGTCTTGCTCTGTCTCCCAGGCTGGAGTGCAGTGGCACGATCTCGGCTCACTGCAAGCTCCGCCTCCCGGATTCACGCCATTCTCCTGCCTCAGCCTCCTGAGTAGCTGGGACTACAGGCGCCTGCCACCACACCCGGCTAATTTTTTGTATTTTTAGTAGAGACAGGGTTTCACTATGTTAGCCAGGATGGTCTCCATCTCCTGACCTCGTGATCTGCTGGCCTCAGCTTCCCAAAGTGCTGGGATTACAGGCGTGAGCCACCACGCCCAGCCTAGTGTCTGTATTTTTTGTAGAAATAGGGTCTTGCTATGTTGTGCAGGTTGGTCTCAAACTCCTAAACCCAAAGGATCTCCTGCCTCGGCTTTGCAGAGTTCTAGGATTACACGCACAAGGCACCATGCCCGCCCCTCTTTTCTTCTTTTTATACTTCATTTTGTAAAATTTTTCCAGGGTGGCTGGGCACGGTAGCTCATGCCTATAATCCCAGCACTTTGGGAGGCTGAGGCAGTGGATAGCTTGAGGACAGGTGTTCATGGCCAACATGGCAAAATCCCATCTGAAATGAAAATACAAAAATTAGCTGGGTGTGGTGGTGCACGCCTGTAATCCCAGCTACTTGGGAAGCTGAGGTACGAGAATCACTTGAACCCAGGAGTCAGAGGTTGCAGAGACCCAAGATTGTGCCACTGCACTCCAGCCTGGGAGACAGAGTAACACTCTGTTTCAAAAAAAAAAAATTTCCAAGGTGGATATTATTTCACATTTCATATTTCCTGTACAATGTGATTTGTCCTTGAGGATTTTCTATTTTATTTTCTAAGTAAAGTTAGTTTTAATAAGGACTAATGTTTATTGTGCCAAAGACAAAATTACAACAAATTTAACGATCTCGACTGGATTCCTTCCTTCCTGCCTTCCTTCCTTCTTTTCTCCTCTTCCCTCCCCTCCCCTCTCTTCTCTTTTTTCTTTCTTTCCCTCCCTCCCTCCCTCCCTCCCTTCCTCCCTTCCTCCCTTCCTTTCTTTCTTTCGACGGAGTCTTGCTCTTTCACCCAGGCTGGAGCACAGTGGCTTGATCTTGGCTCACTGCAAACCCCGCCTCCTGGGTTCAAGCGATTCTCCTGCCTCAGCCTCCCGAGTACCTGGGATTACAGACGCACACCACCATGCCTGGCTGATTTTTGTATTTTTAGTCAAGACGGGGTTTTACCATGTTGGCCAGGCTTGTCCCAAACTCCTGACCTCAGGTGATTCACCCGCCTCGGCCTCCCAAAGTCCTGAGATTACAGGCATGAGCCACCATGCCCGGCCCTGATTGGGCTTTTTCTACAAAAAATTCTTGTGAAACTTTTCTGCAATATTTTATAATAAAGTCCTACTGATTTATATTTGATTTTATATTTGTAAGTCAGGTGAAATGAGTGAATTCTTCCTTGTGTATGAATGTACTACATGTTGCAGAATGTCTACCTTTCCTGGGCTCCATCCACTAAATTCTCAAAGTGCCTCCTAATCATTGTCTCTATTAAAGATGCCCCACAAATTTCCAAAATGCCCCTAGGGTGTGCCTGAGAGCCACTACCCTAGGTGCCTCTCTTCAAACACCTAGGCCTCACTGCAGTGGCCAATAGGGGCATACTAGGTGGCCACAATCACGTTCCTCTGTCCCCTTTGTATAGCACTTGAAAAAGAGTTTGCTAAGGCCTGGTACGGTGGCTCATGCCTGTAACCCCATCATTTTAAGAAGCTGAGACAAGAGGATCCCTTGAGGCCAGGAGTTCAAGACCAGCCTGGGCAACATAGAGAGACTCCGTCTTTACAAATATATATATATATTTATTTATTTATTTTTATTTTTTTTGGTAGAAAAGGGGTCTCCAGTGGCCGGGCGCAGTGGCTCATGCCTGTAATCCCAGCACTTTGGGAAGCTGAGGCGGGCAGATCACGAGGTCAGGAGATGGAGACCATCCTGGATAACACAGTGAAACCCTGTCTCTACTAAACCCCATCTCTATTAAAAATACAAAAAATTAGCCGGGCATGGTGGTGGGCACCTGTAATCCTAGCTACTCGGGAATCTGAGGCAGGAGAATCGTTTGAACCCGAGGTGGATGTTGCAGTGAGCCGAGACGCGCCACTGCACTCCAGCCTGAGTGACAGAGCAAGACTCTGACTCAGAAAAACAAGCAAACAAAAAAAGACAGCTATATACCTAGGGAAGACATAAATATAAGTGAAAAGCAGAAGTACAAAAATAGTTCGGCTGACCCAGCAGCAATTTTGATCCCATCCCAGCAAGACCTGTCTTGGAGTGTAGGTCTGGCTCAGATAGCAAACTCCAGCCCTTTCACACTGACAGGTATCATATCACAGGCTCCTAGGTCTTTAGGTCCCATGGAGAGTGCCACTCCCAGTTCCACTGTTAGTTACTTCTATGGTCTGTGTTCAAGTCAAATAAAGACATTTGTTCATTCCATGCACAGCACAGAGTAGGTGCTCAAAAAAGTACTTTTTATACAGATGAATGAACAACTACTACCAGTTAACCTAGAACCTGTCCTTTCAGCTCTAGTTTTTAATTGTAATTTTATTTTATTTTAGAGACAGGGTCTTGGCACAATCACAATTCACTGCAGCTTTGACCTCTCAGGCTCAATTGGATCCTCCCACCTCAGCCTCCATAGTAGCTGGGACTACAGGTACATGCCACCATGCCCAACTAATTTTTGAAATTTATTTTTAGAGATGGGGTCTTGCTATGTTGCCCAGGCTGGTCTCGAATTCCTGAGGTCAAGCAATCCACCTGCCTCAGCCTCCCAAGGTGCTGGGATTATAGGCGTGAGCCATCACTCACCTCTAGTTTCTGGCCTGAGGGTATATTACTCTCCCTGATTACTGACACCAAAAATGATTTCACTCTTGGGTGGGACCTCTGCTGCCCCTTACCCACTAGGGTGTGGGTTTTTTTGGTTTGTTTTTGTCTTTTTTAAGACAGGGCCTCACACTGTCATCCAGGCTGGAATGCAATGGTGTGATCCTGGCTCACTGCAGCCTCGACCACCTGGGCTCAAGGGATCCTCCCACCTTAGCCTCCTGAGTAGCTGGGACCAGAAGTGCACACCACCACACCAAGCTAATTTTTTAACTTTTTATAGAAACAGGTTGCCTAGACTGGTATCGAACTCCTGAGCTCAAGCAATCCTCTTGCCTTGGTTTCCCAAAGTGCTGGAATTACAGGCGTGAGCCACTGAGTCTGACCTTAGGGTGTGGTTTTACCATTGGATTCATGTGATTTACCAATGCTTCAACAGTAACCACAACATTCAATGTACAGCCCAGTGCAGATGGAAGGTCCTTGTACCTCATGATCTCTTCCAATTTTTCGCAAGATAATAGTCAGTCTTTCATGAGTGCTTATTACATGCACTAGCCTGACAACTCTACATTACAGATAAGAAAATTAAGACTTAGAGGCCAGACGCGATGGCTCACACCTGTAATCCCAACACTTTGGGAGGCCGAAGCGGGCGGATCACAAGGTTAGGAGATCGAGACCATCCTGGCTAACACGGTGAAACCCCGTCTCTACTAAAAATACAAAAATTTAGCCAGGCGTGGCGGTGTGCGACTGTAGTCCCCGCTACTCGGGTGGCTGAGGCAGGAGGATGGCGTGAACCCGGGAGGCGGAGCTTGCAGTGAGCCAAGATCGTGCCACTGCACTCCAGCCTGGGTGACAGAGCGAGACTCCATCTCAAAAAAAAAAAAAAAGAAAAGAAAACTAAGACTTAGAGAAGTTAAATATGTGGCAGAGTGAAGCCTAAGCTCATATCTGTCCTAATCTAAATTCCAAGCAGTTCTGAGTCATCAGGTCACACAGACTGCTTCTCACATGCTTCAGGAATGCCTTTTCAGTCTTCCTTAAAGGTTGCAAACAGTTGCAAAGCAAATTTCATGGTTCCTGTTTCTTCAAAATCTCAAAGCTCTTCATTCAGCCAGGCATGGTCGCTGGAGCGTGTATATTCAACCACTTGAGAAGATGAGGATCTTTTGAGCCCAGGAGTTTGAGACGAACCTGGGCAACATAGGGAAAGCCCTGTCACCTAAAAAAATAAATAATACAACCAGCTCTTCATTTAGAGGCAAGCACAAAATAGGTGCTCAATGTTTGTTGAATGAGTGAGTTGTTACCAACCATACCCCACTATTCAAGGTCCTGCTTGTCAGTGTTTCAGGAAGTGTTCTTGGCAAAGGAGTGGTGAACTTCAGGAAGAATGATGCTGACTCCGAACACAATTATTTATTTATTTATTTATTTATTTATTTATTTATTTATTTACTTATTGAGACAGAGTCTCGCTCTGTAGCCCAGGCTGGAGTGCAATGACGTGATCTCCGCTCACTGCAACCTCTGCCTCCCAGGTTCAAGCAATTCTCCTGCTTCAGCCTCCCAAGTAGCTGGGATTACAGGCGCCCGCCACTACGATCGGAGAATGTTTTGTATTTTTAGTAGAGACAGGGTTTCGCCATGTTGGACAGGCTGGTCTCAAACACCTGACCTCATGTGATCCACCCACCTCGGCCTCCCAAACTGCTGAGATTACAGGCTTGAGCCAGTGTGCCCAGCCTGAACACAATTATTAAAGTCAAAGTGAGACCTAACAGTGGAACTTTGGTTGCGGCTACAGGAAATATGGATTCAAATACTGAACACCAGCTGGGCACAGTGGCTCACGCCTACAATCCTAGCACTTTGGGAGGCTAAGGTAGGAGGACAGCAGAGCCCAAGAGTTCGAGACAAACCTGGCCAACATGGTAAAACGAAAAAATTAACCAGGCATGGTGATGCACACCTGTAGTCTCAGCTGAGGTGGGAGGATCGCCTGAATTGAGGTAGTGGAGGCTGCAGTGAGCTGTGTTCCTGCCACAGCACTCCAGCCTGAGCAACAGAGCAAGACCTTGTCTCTAAATAAATAAACACAACAAAAATAAAACAAATACTGAGCCAGGTGTGGTGGCTCCTGCCTGTAATCTCAGCACTTTAGGAGGCTGAGATGGGCAGATCACTTGAAGTCAGGAGTTCGAGACCAGCCTGGACAACATGATGAAATCTCTACTAAAAATACAAAAATTAGCTGGGACTGATGGCGCTAATCCCTGCTACTCAGGAGGCTGAGGCAGAATTGCTTGAACCTGGAAGGCGGAGGCTGCAGTGAGCCAAGATCACCCCCACTGCTCTGGGTTGCAGTGAGCCAAGATCACACCACCTGGGTGACAGAGCAAGACTGCATCTCAAAAAAAAAAAAAGAAAGAGAAAAGAAAAGAAAGAGAGAGAGAGAGAAGGAAGGAAAGAAAGAAAGAAAAAGAAAAAGAAAGAAAGAAAGAAAGAGGAAGAAAGAAAAATAAAAGCATAGAGAGTGCTGGAGCAGTGTGAGTGAGATGGATAGTGGTAAAAGGTGACCTTGGAAAAGGAAATTGGGAGGCCAGATTGTGTAGGGTCTTGGTGGCCATGGTAAGGAGTCTGAATTTTGTTCTAAGATGGAAATTCACTGTAGAGTTTGGTGCTGGGAAGTGACAAGATCACATGTGTATTTTTAAGAGATCACTTTGGGTGCTGTGTAGAAATCAGACTGTAGGAGTCAAGTGTGGAGGGAGACCAGCATCCAATTACAGCCTGCCATGAACTTGCCAGGTTCCTCTTCCCTTCCTTCAGCACACACTACTCTTTCCCACCGCTTAGCCTAGTTAACACTTATTCTTTCAAAATTAGCCCGGATGTCACTTTCTCTAAGAACAACCGCGCCCCCTGCCGCCTCCCCACCTCACACACCTCCTCTAACGCAAACTCATAGCCCTCACAACTTCTTTGTCACTTTTTCTCCCCCTTTTTTTGAGACAGGATCTCGCTCTATTCCCCAGGCTGGTCTCGAACTCCTGGGCTCAAAAGATCCTCCCGCCTCAGCCACCCGAATAGCTCCTTTGTCGCTCTTATCACTGTTGTGATTAATTGTACAAATGGCTTAATGGCAGTTATAGCGCCCAGCTCATCAAAGGCAGTGGCCTGCCAATCGTCAGCGGGCAGGGCAGGGACCAGTCCAGTCCATCCTGGCTCCCATGTGCAGCCCCAGTGCGCATCGCGACACCGGCGCTCGTTGCCGCGCTCCGTGAACGTTTGTCACATGTCCGAAGAATGAATGAATTATATACCTTTCTTCCCACTCCAGCCCTCAAAAAGCAAGTGGATACAAAGACTTGAAGATTTTATAATCGCTTCATTAGTAAAATTTGACCATCCTTACCATTAAAAATAATGATAATGATGAAAAAGGCTAAGTGCGAACGCCGGGAGGGGAGAGCTAAAATTCAAAGGGCGAAATATTTATAATGCCTACCGTCGGCGAAGAGAAACAGCAGCCCCAACCGAAGGCAAAAGGAAATCCCACCGCAGCCTCCAAAGGCGCGTGGGCGGGACTGGAGAATGGGGCCCCGCGCACTAGGCGCGGAAGTCAAGAAGCAGCCCCACCACCCGTGCCGCGAGAAAAGCAGCCCTGGGGAGGCGGGGCGGGGCCTCACTTGGAAAAGAGACGGTCACTCATCCAGAGGCGGGACTCAGAGCCCCTCCACAAGTCTCATTGGTCCATTTGAAGACGGACAACTCTCCCTGACCATCCGTAGCACAGATGGGGCGCAAGCGTATTGGAAAGGGAGCGGGTGCCAGACGCGAGAACTACGCATGCGTCTCAGCGCTTTCCCGCCAGCACACCCTTAGTGGGTGGGGGGGGCGATTGAATTCCCACAGTGAGTCCAGCCCACCGAAGCTCAGAGGATTCCTAACCTTCCTCTTCAGAGAGCCTCAGGTTAGGGAACGTCCAGTGCCCAAAAGCTGCCCTGTGGGAATCCCATTGTCCACCGCCTCTTACCTAATGTTTCGTTCTGGCCTTGCCCCATCTCTTCCTGAGGCTGGGTTGTTACGATGGTGAATTATTCAAGATGTCTTGCAGCCTGACGCCATCTCTGGGCAGTGCTCCTGCATCCTCCCTGTCTTCCTTGGGAGGGCACCACGTTGCTCTTACAAGCACAGGGTCCTGAAACTGTTTACAAGGCCCCACTCTGCCACGTTAGTATCTTAACGAGTGTTTGTTGAGGAAGCACTGTGTGTTAGACCCAGTGCAATGAGCAAGTCCCTGATCTTGTGACCTTACATTCTACAGGACGACACAAACGTATAAACAAAAAATAATTTTAGATAGTGATACATGCTTAAAACATGGCTATGTGGCCGGGAGCAGTGGCTCACGCCTGTAAATCCAACATTGTGGGAGGCTGAGGCAGGTGGATCACTTGAGGTCAAGGAGTTCGAGACCAGCCTGGCTAACATGGCAAAACCCCGTCTCTACTGAAAATACAAAACTTAGTCAGGCGTGATGGCAGACACCTGTAATCCCAGCTACTCGGGAAGCTGAGGCAGGAGAATCGCTTGAACGCAGGAGATGGAAGTTTGCAGTGAGCCCAGATCACACCACTGCACTCCAGCCTGGGTGAGAGAGCCAGACTGTATCTCAAAAAAAAATAAAATAAAATAAAATAAAGCTATGTGATAGAATGACTGCGATGGGGATTAGGTCCTCACTGAAATGGTGAGAGTGGAGTTAAAACCTGAAATTAGGTGACAGCACCAGATATATCTGCCCGAGGGTTTCGTGCTTGGAAAATAGCAGGTGCAAACGTCCTTGTGCTGTGAGGAAATTTGGCTGGAACAGAAGGTGGGCCAGATTGTAGCTGACCATAGTCTCTGAGAGCTTGGAGATGATTCTAAATACAATGGGAAGCCATTAAATTGAGGCAGAGCCTTGATGTGACGTGCTTTATCATCATTTTGCTGAGTGGAGAATGGATTGCTGGGAAAAGTGAAAGATTGATTCAGAGGTTGTGGAGAGAGGGTGGCTGGAACTAGGTAGCTGGGGAGGTGGTGGGACGTGGATGAATTCAAGATAGGATTGGTTGTGTTGGATATGGGAAAAGAAGTCACCATGGTTCCTGGGCTTTTGGAATGTGCAAATGGGTAATGGAGGTGCCATTGAGATGGGAACAGTGGAAAAATAACCGGTGCTGGGGTGGGAATGAAGAGCTCAGTTGTGTGGCCGGGCGCAGTGACTCACGCCTGTAATTCCAGCACTTTGGGAGGCCGAGGCAGGGGGATCACCTGAGGTCAGGATTTGCAGACCAGCCTGGTCAATATGGCAACACCCTGTCTCTACTAAAAATACAAAAACATTAGCCGGGTAGCGGGGCCTATAATCCCATCTACTCGGGAGGCTGAGGCAGGAGAATCGCTTGAACCCTGGAGGCAGAGGTTGCAGTGAGCCAAGATCTCGCCATTGCACTCCAGCCTGGGCAACAAGAGCAAAACTCTGCCTAAAAAAAAAAAAAGAGTTCAGTTAGTTCAGTTGTGGCCATGTTGAATTTGAAATACTCATTAGACATCCAACCAGATATGCTGAGTTGGATGGCGCTCAAGAGAGGTCAAGGCTGGAGTTATGCATTAACACATAGAAAGATGGTACTTAAAGCCATGGACGTTAGTAGTAGGGCCACCTACAGAAAGAGTGGAAGTAGAAAAGAGGGCTTACGGTGGGCAATGTGGTTCACGCCTCTAATCCCAGCACTTTGGAAGGTCAAGGCAGGCACATCATTTGAGGTCAGGAGTTTGAGACCATCCTGGACAACATGGTGAAACCCCGTCTCTACTAAAAATACAAAAACTAGCCGGGTGTGGTGGCATGCACCTGTAGTCCCAGCTACTCAGGAGGCTGAGGCAGGAGAATCGCTTGAACCCAAGAGGCGGAGGTTGCAATGAGCCAAGATTGCACTGTTACACTCCAACCCGGGTGACAGAGCAAGACTCCATTTAAAAAAAAAAAAATTGATGGCCGGGTGCAGTGGCTCATGCCTGTAATCCCAGCACTTTGGGAGGCCGACGCAGGCAGATCACGAGGTCAGCAGATCGAGACCATCCTGGCTAACAAGGTGAAAACCTGTCTCAACTAAAAATACAGAAAATTAGCCAGGCATGGTGACAGGCACCTGTAGTCCCAGCCACTCAGGAGGCTGAGGCAGGAGAATCGCTTGAACCTGGGAGGCGGGGGTTGCAATGAGCCGAGATCGCACCATGCACTCCAGCCTGGCAAAAGAGCAAGACTCCATCTCAAAAAAATAAATAAAATAAAATAAAAATGACGGCTGGGAGCAGTGGCTCACGCCTGTAATCCCAGCATTTTGGGAGGCTGAGGTGGGCAGATCACGAGGTCAGGAGATCGAGACCATCCTGGCTAACATGGTGATACCCTGTCTCTGTTAAAAATACAGAAAATTAGCCAGGCATGGTGGCAGGCACCTGTAGTCCCAGCTACTCGGGAGGCTGAGGCAGGAGAATAGCATGAACCTGGGAGGCAGAGCTTGCAGTGAGCCGAGATCGTGCAACTGCACTCCAGCCCGGGCAACAGAGCAAGACTCCGTCTCAAAAAAATATATAAAAAATAAAATAAAAGAAAAAAAACAAAAACAAAGAAGGCTTACGTGAGACCCTTGGGGCCCTCTACTGTTAACCAGTTCAGGAGAGGTGTAAAAGTTTGTAAAGGATAACCAGAGCACAAAGTAGAAGAGCAATGTCCTCAAAGGGAAAAATTCAAGAAGATGCTGATTATGGAGATTAATTGCTGCTTCAAGGTCAAGTGAAATGCAGGCAGAGAAATGGTCACTGGGTCTGACACCACTTTTGGTCACTCAAATTTTGGTCAGAGCAGTGGCTGAAGAAACACAGGGGAAGGAGTCTGATGGGGGTGGGTGATAAGAGAATGGATGTTTAAGTGTGGAGGGAAGAAAAAGAAAACCTATTGCTATGAAAAGGAGCAGAGATAGAATTCGTGGTTGGAAAGTGTGTCTTGAAAGTTTCTTTTTTCTTAAAAGTTTCTTGTGCACCATATAGCACAAGATCAGCAACCCCTGGCAGAGCCCTTCAGGTACCCAGTATCCCTTGGGGGTGAGGAAGGGTGTGTACAAGAGGAGAAGCAGGAGATAGGCAGGAATGTGTTGCAACTACGTATGGATAGGCAGCTAAGGTCCTGGTTGGTATACTTTTCTCTCAGTATCAGGAACCCTGCCTGCCCTTTGGACCAGTCATGGAGAGGTCACCTCAGTACCACACAAGATCATCACCCACCTTCAAAAAGAGGTGGGTGATTTGGATAGAGGGGGCTGCCAGTGAGAGAAGTTCAGTCAATTCTGTACAATACACATTTATTGAGCACTAGATATATGCCATGCTAGATGCAGGTGACCCAGAGCATCAAGGAGCAATAGTCTGGTGGCAGAGACACACACAATGTCACTGTGATGTATTAAAGCAGTCAGCAAGAGATGCAGCTCAGGGCACTGTGGGGATATCCAGAGGCACAGTACCTTCTGCCTGTCAGTCAGGGAGGGAGAGGAGCACAGGCTGAAGGAGACTGGAAGACAGCAGTTGGCCTCTGATAGTGGGACTGGAGAGAGATTTCTAAGGGCCACTTCTTGTTTTCAGGGACTAGGTTGGGCTAGATATGGGGCTCAGGATGGACAAGGCTTAGAGCCAGGTTGGAGAAGATGAAAGAGCATTACTAGAGGAGTGGGGAGGCCTAGGCTATGCTCTTTACTCTGCCATTGACTGCGTGATCTTGGGCAGGCCATGTAACCTCTCAGGGCTGTGCACTCCCTTATTTGTAAAACTAGAGGGCTGGGCCAGCATGTTTTCCAAGGGTTCTTCTAGCATTGACGGTCAGGTTCCAAGAGGGAACACAGTGTCAGAAGTGGGACACTCTTCCTAATTTCTAATTTCCCAAAGGTTAAGGACCTGGGGAATTAATTGAGAGGCCTGGAAAGAGGATCCAGATAAAAGCCTAAGTTCCTGGCAAGGCCAGGGCCACTGCCCTGATTGCTTAGGTGTGAACAGAGCTTTTTGTTTCCGAAGTATTCTAAATTATTTCCTAACACAGGGGCATTCAGAGAAAGAGATTCTTACCCCCATTCCACAGGGGAGAAACTGAGGCTTAGGGAGATTTAAGGATCATGCTGAAGAGGTTATCTGGGGACAAAGCTTACTCAGGATGTGGTGGGGGATGCTGAGGAACAGGGACTGGAGCCTGGGAAGGTAGGGCAGGCTGAGACCTGGGGGTATGGGTGGAATGTGTATGTGGTAATGGTGTCTGGGCGATGGAATGAAGTGAAAGAAATAGCCAAGAGCTGGGCACTGAGGGAACAAGCTGGGGGGCCCTGGGCGTGGGTTCCCTGGATCCAGGGAGTGTGAGGATGGCTTTCCCTGGTTCCTGAGGCATGGACCGAGTCCTAGCCTGCATCTGAGCTCCGTTGTGCTAGCTTTGTGGTGTCTGGGTCGGGAAAGTTACTGTTAGAAAGTTGCTGTCAGCAGGCATTGTTCCAGCTTTCCATGGAAATTCTGGGAGCTGCTCCTAGTTTGCGGCCCAACCTTTCTTCCTTCTTCTCAATGGGCCCAGGACCTTGACGGCCAGCGGGCTCCAAGGCCCAGGCTTTTTGCCAACAGCAACAGGCTACTGGCTGGGCCCAGGCAAGGGGGCCTTGGCAGGAAAAGTTCCTTGCTGTACCTCCACTGCACTCAGAGGCCAGTGAGGGGGGTACCAGACAGGACTCCTTCCTCCCTGGTGAAGTGCCCTTGCAGCTCCCCAGCGTCCACGCCATGGATATTTCCTCCACAGAAGTACAATGCTGATTATGATCTGTCAGCTCAGCAAGGGGCAGACACCCTGGCCTTCATGTCTCTCCTGGAGGAGAAGTTGATCCCGGTGCTGGTGAGTGTGCCCAGACCTCCCAGCATCCATGGCCAGCCGGGGAGGGGACGGGCACACACAGACCCACACAGAGACTCAGGAGAGCATGGAGGTCAGAAGCCCACCTTGAATCAGACAGGTGCACTGGCTCAGACCTGCCTGTTTCTTCCTGCCCACCCAATCCAGGTACATACTTTTTGGATAGACACCAAGAACTACGTAGAAGTGACCCGGAAGTGGTATGCAGAGGCTATGCCCTTTCCCCTCAACTTCTTCCTGCCTGGCCGCATGCAGCGGCAGTACATGGAACGGCTACAGCTGCTGACTGGGGAGCACAGGCCTGAGGACGAGGAAGAGCTGGAGAAGGAGGTAGCTCTGAGACCGGGGGCTATTGTATGAGATGAGCCCCAAGGATGCTGGCCAGGAATGGGAGTGCTTAGGTGCAGAGGTGGCACTGTTCCCGCAGCTGCAAGCCTACCTGTGTCGCCCCTACAGCTGTACCGAGAGGCTCGGGAGTGTCTGACCCTGCTCTCTCAGCGCCTGGGCTCTCAAAAGTTCTTCTTTGGAGATGCGTGAGTCTGACTCCAAGAGGGTAATGGGTGGCTTGGAAGAAGATACAGGTTCAGATGGAGCAGCTGGAGCTGGGGCTGGGGCTGGGGCTGGCTCAGGCTCTGGATAGGAGGTCCCTGAGACAGATACTGGCCCTGGTGACAGTGGGGCTGTGCGTGGGGCCAGAGCCTTCTCAGAGGTACAAAAGGGTAGGGTGGGAGGGCAGCCAGGCACAGGAAGGGCCTGAAGAGCTGTGGGGCACTGAGTGTGCCCTTTATGCAGCCCTGGGATAGAGCCCTATTCAGGGCCAGGCTGGCGCCACCTGGGGATCTCTCCCCATACCAGGTCTAGAACTGTGTGTCCTGTCCTTCCCTGGTGGCCGCCTGCTGCCCAGAGCCCACCTCCCAAGGCTGACTCTTCCTCCAGCTCCATCTTTACCCCTTCTACCCCAGTGGTTCTCCTCCATCCCACCCTTCTCTCTCTGCTCCAGCCCTGCCTCCTTGGACGCCTTCGTCTTCAGCTACTTGGCCCTGCTGCTGCAGGCAAAGCTGCCCAGTGGGAAGCTGCAGGTCCACCTGCGTGGGCTGCACAACCTCTGTGCCTATTGTACCCACATTCTCAGTCTCTACTTCCCCTGGGATGGAGGTAAGGGGCAGATGGGAGGGGCAGCCCTGGGGAGAGTGGGCAGGGATCCAAGAACTAGTTCTCCTAACACACCTTCCTTCCTTGACCCTCAGCTGAGGTACCACCGCAACGCCAGACACCAGCAGGCCCAGAGACTGAGGAGGAGCCATACCGGCGCCGGAACCAGATCCTATCTGTGCTGGCAGGACTGGCAGCCATGGTGGGCTACGCCTTGCTCAGCGGCATTGTCTCCATCCAGCGGGCAACGCCTGCTCGGGCCCCAGGCACCCGGACCCTGGGCATGGCTGAGGAGGATGAAGAGGAATGATTTGTCCTCACGCTCCCAAGACTGGTTTTTCTACTCTCATGCATTCCAGAGGCCCCCGTGCCTCCTCGTTGTTGGTACAGCCGGACACGGGGTGCTGCCACCCAGAATAAAGCCACTCACACTGACTGGGCTCAAACATTTTCTCCTTTAAGAGCTGCCATTTTTCCTGGCTGGTGCCATAGGAATCATCTGGGTGCCTGGGCACACCCGCTGCTGCTTTAAGGCTTCCGCCCTGATGCTGACACTGCTGCTCCACGGGCCCAGTTCTGCATCTCCAGGAAAGACAAACAGTCTCCAGTTTTGGGCCCAGCTTTCCTAGTCTCTTCTTTTCCTTACCCTCAGCCCTGATCTTGTGTTTGTACGGACAGTGAGCTCACCCTAGGCCTGGACCCAGGCCCAGTTTCCAAAGCAAGCAGCACACAGCGCATGTTCACATAAGCATGGGGGCTGGGGGGACACTGGGGCTTACTGATCTTTTTCTAGGGGCCTCCAGCCCCTGGCACCACCTAGAGGGGAAAGTGAGTCACCCAAACCATTGCCCCTGGGCTTACGTCGCTGTAAGCTCACACTGGCCCTGCTGTGCCCTCTTTAGTCACAGACAGCGTGTGAGCTGACTCTGTCCCTTTAATGCCCAGGCTGAGCCCAGTGCCTCCTTGAGTATCTGCTCCATCACTGGCGACACCACAGGTAGGTGTGAATGGAGTAGCCAGGTGAGATTGTCTCCAGGAAGCCCACAGCAGGATCCTTGATGGTAAGAGGCACATCCTTAGAGGAGCTAGGGAGCAGGGAGGAGAAGCTGAGAGTGTGATCCTGCCAAGGCCCCCAACGCTGTCTTCAGCCCACTTCCCAGACCTCACCATTGCCCTCACCGGTTTAGCACGACCACAACAGCAGAGCCATCGGGATGCATCAGTGCCACTGCGTCCAGGTCGTTCTTCTGACTGGCAACCAGCCCCACTCTCTGGGAGCCCTCAGGAATGAACTTGCTGAATGTGGGAACAGATGGTCAGAGTCCCTCGGGGTACCTCCCATGAAACCCTCATCTAAGAAGTCACCCACCCACGGACCCACCCCATAACTCCTGCAGAGGCTCTGCCCTGGCTCTCTAGGCCTGGAGCCATGCTGCTGGGCACTGACCCTGCTTTTCTGCATCGCAGTCCAGCCTCAGGCATTGGGGTTTTCTGTTGCTACCTAGTCACTTCCTGCCTCCATGGTGCAAAAGGGGATGGGTGTGCCTCTTCCGAGGTTCCACCCTGAACACCTTCCTGCTCCCTCGTGGTGTAGAGTGATGTAAGCCATCCGATGTAGGAGATGATAGGCCTGGTATGGAATGGGGGTGCCCGCCCTCCACTCACCTGAAGTGGCCAAGGTGGTAGAACATGGGCTGTTTGTAAAACGTGTCCTTGGTGATGTCTACAATGATGGGACTGTCGACAAAGTTACGCACCCAATTGGGTCCTCCTTCGGGGTTCAGGGCAAGGTTCCAGTCGGTCCAGCCGACCACATGGTACAGGAGGTTCTAGGGTAAGGACAAAGGCAAAGAGACAAAGGCGCAACACTGGGGGTCCCCAGAGAGTGTAGGTAAGGGTCACATGTGGGAGAGGCAGCTGTGGGTAGGTCAGCCCTGTGAGGGGCACATTCCTTAGTAGCTAAGGAGTTGGGGGTGTGAAGATCCAGGCATCTCAAGGGGAGCTGAGAAGTCTGAGGCAGCTGCAAGTGCCTCAGTAGTTGCAAAAGGGGCAATGAGGTGTGCAGACCTGTGAAGGAAAGGGAAGATAGGGAATCATGGTTCCCCAGAGTTGCTCAAAAGGGCAGGCTAGCTGGGGAAAGCTGGACAGGAAGGGCTTCTGTCAGTCTTTGGTGAAACTAGTAAGAGGTCTGAGGTCTGCTTTGCAGGAAGGGAGACTGGGGTGGCTTACCGTGATGATGCTGTGGCTGTACTGCATCCCTCGATCCCAGGAGCCTAGCCGCACACTCTGCTCCCAGAACTTGGAGCCCACACAGGCCTCTGAGGCAAAGAGCATGGTGTTGGGGAACAGGCGGTGTGTCTCCCCTAGGGTGGCTTTGGCTGGAGCCAGAAAGTCCAGGTACCAATGTACAGCAATGCCATGAACATATTTAGCTGCTTCTGGGTCTGTCAGTACCTGCAAAGGAAGAGCAACTGATCCTGGACCTTGCACACAGGCTTCTGGAACTTCTAGTTCCTGTTGTAGGAATCCTGGAGTTGGGTGACGGGAAGAATGCAACTAGAGAGGTTTGGGGAGATTTTTTTTTGTTTTTGAGACAGGATGTCACTCTGTCACTCGGGCTGGAGTACAGTGGCGCAATCACGACTCACTGCAGCCTTGACTTCCTAGGGTCAACTGATCCTCCCACATTAGCCTCCTGAGTAGCTGGGACTACACGGGTGCCACACCCAGCTAATTTGTGTGTGTATGTGTGTGTATGTATGTGTGTGTGTGTATATATATATACATATAAACACATATATATGTATATACACATACATACATGAACCACCACCCCCAGCCTAGATAGTTTTGTTTTGTTTTGTTTCGAGATGGAGTCTCGCTCAGCCTCCCAGGCTGGAGTGCAGTGGCGCGATCTCGGCTCACCGCAACCACCATCTCCCGGGTTCAACTGATTCTCCCTTCTCAGCCTCCTGAGTAGCTGGGATTACAGACACCCACCATCATGCCCAGATAATTTTTTTTTTTTGTATTTTAGTAGACACAGGGTTTCAACACGTTGGCCAGGGTGGTCTTAAACTCCTGACCTCAGGTGATCACCCGCCTCGGCTTCCCAAAGTGCTGGGTTTGCATGAGTGAGCCACCTCGCCCAGCCCCTAGAAAGGTTTCAAGCGACAACTGTGGGATCCATGGCACCCTGGAGGTCCAGGGGAATGGTGCTCTAGGAATCCATAGTTGGGTAGAGAAATCGCTCTAAGTTTGGGAGCCAGTCATTTGGATGCTGGATTTGAAGGTCACTGGAGCACCATGGAGGTCCAGGCCTTACCACCTTTGCCCAGTGGGGCAGCAGCAAGCGTTGGTCATCCAGCATGAGTAGGCGGACATTGTGGTGAGTACTGTTGGCGAGGGTAGGACCTAGGTCACGGGCAATGAAGTCTCGCTGATGTTCAGGGGTGAAGCCCAGGCACTGGAAGGGGTATCCACTCAACAGCCCAGCAGAAGGCTCATTTTCAGCTGTCACTGCCCAGAACTGTAACTTGTGCTCAGCATAGGCATCCAGGAACCTGGCAAGAGAAAGGTCATGAATGATCCGGCCAAGAAAGTGGACCAGACCAGCTGGGTGTGGTGGCTCACACCTGTAATCCCAGCACTTTGGGAAGCCGAGGCAGGTGGATCACTTGAGTTCAGGAGTTCGAGAACAGCCTGGCGAAACCCCGTCTCTACTAAAAATAGAAAAATCAGCTGGGCCTGGTGGCAGGCGCCTATAATCCCAGCTACTTGGAAGGCTGAGGCAGGAGAATTGCTTGAACTCAGGAGGCAGAGGTTACAGTGAGTGAAGATGGCGCCACAGCACTCCAGCCTGGGTGACAGAGAGAGAGACTCCTTCTCAAAAAAAAAAAAAAGAAGAAAAATAAAAAGAAAGTGGGCCAGACCGAGAGAACAGGAAGCCTGATGGAGTGGGCAAGATTGACAGGCCCAAGGCTGAAAGGCCCAGAAGGTAGAAAGGTGAGCTGAGGACAGGCAGATCTGGAAGTGGAACTAGGTTGAGGGTTGGGACACAGATCAGCATGGCTAAATGGGAGGCCAGTCCTGATCCCACATCCTTGCTGATCCCTTACTTCACAAAGTATCTGGCCCAGGTCTGGTGGTAGATGTCTCCGGGCTGTCCCTTGAGTGACCCCTTCCCATTCACCGCTCCATTGGTCTTGAGCCAAGTGGGTGATGTCCAGGGGCTGGCAAGGAGTGAAACGGGACGCTGGGCCAACTGCAGGGCTCGGTGAATCAGGGGTATCTAGAGACAAAGGTAGTGAAGAGAGAAGCACCCAGAGTTGGAACACATACTAGCCCAACCAGTGCATCCGGTTCAGCCATTAGCCTCCACCCTCCCACCCCCAGGACAAAACAGCAGGGGACAAAATGTCTGTACAAGCAGACCTACCCTACAGTTTCTCAACCCCCAGACATCAGGGCCCTCAGGGCCTGAAAAAGCTAGAATGCCTACCTTGAGCTTGGTATCTTCCTCTGGGAGGCTGAAGTTGTGCAACTGGAAATCATCAGGGGTGTCTGCATAGGTGTAGGTGCGGATGGAGAAGTCACAGCTGGCCATGGGTACCCGGATGATGTTATATCCGATTCCTACAGAAAAGGATGATCAAGATATGGTAGTCCGAGTCAATAGGAGAGTATGGGACTCTGCTTATCACTTGCCAGTCCTAATAGTGTCTGAGTCAGGGCCAAAGGGAACTTGGGCTCCTGGGTTGGAACCTGTGGAGGCTGGCACCTGGGTGAAGCGCAGGCCTTTCTGAGCCTGAGTCCGTAGCAGTTAGCAGATGATAGGCGGTGAAATCTTATTTCACAGGGCATTAAAACAGGAACCAAATGTCAGGGATGGGCAGAAGTCAGGGTCCAAAGAAAGGGCAAAGAAAAGTGTCAGTGGCTCACGCATGTAATCCCAGCACTTTGGGAGGCCGATGTGGGCAGATCACGAGGTCAGGAGTTCGCAATCATCCTGGCCAACATAGTGAAACCCTGTCTCTACTAAAAATACAAAAAATTAGCCGGGCGTGGTGGCAGGCACCTGTAATCCCAGGTACTCGAGAGGCTGAGACAGGAGAATCACCTGAACCCGGGAGGTGGAGGTTGCAGTGAGCTGAGATTGTGCCACTGCACTCCAGCCTGGGTGACAGTGCGAGACTCTGTCTCAAAAAAAAAAAAAGAAAAAAGAAAAGTGTCTGCTGGGCTCGGTGGCTCACACTTGTAATTCCAGCACTTCGGGAGGCCAAGGCAGGTATATCATTTGAGGTCAGGAGTTTAAGACTAGCCTGGTCAACATGATGAAACCCTGTCTCTACTAAAAATACAAAAATTAGCCAGGTGGTAGTGGCGCACGCCTATAATTCCAGCTACTCAGGAGGCTGAGGCAGGAGAATCACTATAGCCTGGGAGGCAGAGGTTGCTGTGAGGGGAGATCACACCACTGCACTCCTGTCTCGCCGACAGAATGGGCAGAGTGAGATTCTGCCTCAAAAAAATTTTAAAAAAAGAAAAGAAAAACGAAAAGTTTCAATGGCTCTATGTCATCTTGTCCCCTTCCTCCTCACCTTCTTCAGAGAAGTACGATTTAAGTAGCAAATTTTGGGCAGGGGGTGACAGGGCAAGGATGTTGAGAGCAGCAGCATCTGTCATGGCCCCTCCAAATCCCTTCACTTTCTGGAACTTCTGTTCTGGCTGCAGGGTCAGTAGCAGGCCTGAGGACATCCACAGGGAATAAGGGTATCAGTACCCAGCGGGAAACTCCATGGTGATCACTGACACCATTTACCTCTAGGAGGACCCAGCCTGGCCCAGGGGGTGAGGGGTGTAATGGTTACCTGTGCCCGTGTGATTAGCCTGGATGGGCCCCATACTCAGCTCCATCCGTCGCCCACTGCGTGTACTCTCATAGCGGCTGAAGGTACCAAGGGCAGGAAAGGTCGGGGGGTCAAAGGAGTCACAGTATGTGGCATTGCAGACACACACCACCGAGCTGTAGCCGAAGCTTTTAGGGATGCAGGGGCGGGCACCTGGGAGGGAGGGAGTACAAGCAGAGTGAGGTCTGATGAAGACATGGAGAATGGACACATCTGCTAGGAGAGACTGAACACGGTTTCAAAATTCCTCACCCCTTGGCCGGGCGCAGGGGCTCACACCTGTAATCCTAGCACTTTAGGAGGCCGAGGTGGGCGGATCACCTGAGGTGAGGAGTTTGAGACCTGCCTTGCCAGCATGGTGAAACCCCGTCTCTACTAAAAATACAAAAATTAGCTGGGCGTAGTGGTGGCCGCCTGTAATCCCAGCTACCTGGGAAGCTGAAGCAAGAGAATCGCTTGAATCTGGGAGGCAGAGGTTGGAATGAGCCAAAATTGCACCACTGCACTCCAGCCCAGGCAACAGAGTAAGACTCTGTTTCAAAAGAAAAAAAACAAAATCCTCACCCCAAAGTTGGTCTCAGTCACTCAAAAGGATTTATTGAGCACCTACTAAAAGTCTACCACCAGCTTACTGGAAGGCTACCAAAGGACTATGAGGCAGAAGGGAGGCTCTGTGCTACCTCCCCACTGCCTTGACTCACTCACCTGATGCCCACGACACTGCCTGAAGTAGAAGCAATCCTGTGAGGCTGCCAGCCATGATGCTTACCCTACTCAAAGGCTTGGGACATTCCTGAGGACAGAATGAGGAATGACTGAAAAGCAAGCCCCTCTCCACCCCTCAACTACTCTCCTGGGCAGGGCTTAGCTGCCTTTGGGTGCCCATGGCCCGGTCTCCCACATTCATTAGGACAAGGCCCACAGAAACCTGGGTGCAGCTCTCCCTGCAACCCTTCTGATGACAACTCTCTGCCCACCCCAAATCAGGATGCTCCCCACCACTCTTCCCACCCATTTCAACTTCGACCCCTCCCTCCATCTGTGCCTTGCTCAAAGAGCCATGATGGCCCTGGATTCAAAGAGAGTCTGTCATTCATTAAATTCCAGTGCCAGGATTCCAGAAGCACTGTGACAATGCTGATTGGGAGCTCTCTCTCTTACCTCTCTGGAAGGACTTGAAAACTCCATCCCCTCAGGGTCATTAGATGAAGAGAAGACCACAGGGGTTCCAGAGTCTCTGAAGGATAGAGGATCCACTAAACAAAAACAAGGATGCAGGTACCTGCCTTAGCTATAGGCACTAGGTTAGCCCTGCAAGTAATTCCGGCTTCCCGATGTGGATGGGTCATGTGATGACTAGGAGCGTCACATGACACAGGAAGTGAGGCAATCACAGCCATATTTCTAAAGGGCAATTGGCTTCCTCTCATCTGTTACAGATTATATGCCCTATAAAACTCTGGAGGGCATGTATGGGTGACAACTTTAGGAAGAGCCTAGAACACAGATTTGCATGGAGAATGGGGTAGAGGCTCCTAAATCCCAGAGGATGGGAACCACAGCAGGCACACTTCTTTTTTGATAGAAATGTCAAAAAGGTACAAATAAAGCTGATATAATTTAAAAAAAAAAACTTCACTGTGCAAAATACTGACACTACCAAGATGTTTAAGACAGTCTTTGCCCTATAGAGGTGTGTGAGGCATGGAAGTCAGACACACAGATATTTACAGATAAAGACAGAAACGGTAACAGGTGTGCATGGAGAGCTCTCTGAGATGAGGAGGGACCATTCGTGGGTGGGGAATTATCCAGGATGGCTTCACAGAGGAAAAAGTGAGGGGGGTTATTAGCCAGTGAAGTGCAGGGCACAAGAGGGTGGGACACTGGCAGTGGGATGACAGGACTGGAGGGAGGGAGTGGTCAGTGCGGCTCCTCTGCAGCGTCCCTTGTTTCATCATCAGATGCAGATGGTAATAACTGTTCTTCCTTCCTCACAAGACAGGGAGGTTTGTAAAGTCGTTCAAAAACCAAAGTGTTGTACAAAGCCATATCCTCAGTGGACACAAGGAGGAAGCTGTCCATGGTGTGGCCTCATGAACCACATCAAATGAGATTTAGCGGGAGTGGCACACACAGTCATGACCTGACTAATCCCAGCTCTCAGCCCATTTCCTTGCCTGGAAAATGGAGGCAATGCCACAACCTCAAAGGGTGGTTACTGCAGTCAGTGAGGTAAGTGCAGTGCCTGACCACTTGGTAGGCACCTGGGAACTACTTGTCTCTTGTTTGTATTTTTTGTTGTTGTTGTTTTTTGAGACAGAGTCTCACTCTGTTGCCCAGGCTGGAGTGCAGTGGCGTGATCTTGGCTCACTGCAACCTCCACCTCCTGGGTTCGAGTGATTCTCCTGCCTCAGCCTCCCAAGTAGCTGGGATTACAGGTGCCCTCCAACATGCTCAGCTAATTTTTTTATTTTTAGTAGAGATGGGGTTTCACTATGTTGGCCAGGCTGGTCTGAAACTCTGGACCTCAGGTGATCTGCTGCCTTGGTATCCGAAAGTGCTGGGATTACAGGCATGAGCCACTGCGCTGGACCCCAGCCATCCTTTTTGTTCTTTAAATGATCTCAGTGAAGTCTTTCTAGATACACTCCAAGCAAAATTGATCATTTCTTCTTCTAGGTTCCTCCAGTAATTTTTTTTTTTTTGGTTTTGAGACAGAGTCTTGCCCTGTTGCCCAGGCTGGAGTGCAGTGTGATCTCGGCTCAAGCAATTGCCCTGCCTCAGCCTCCTGAGTAGCTGGGATTACAGGAGCCCACCACCATGCCCAGCTAATTTTTGTATTTTTAGTAGAGATGGGGTTTCACCATGTTGGCCAGGCTGGTCTCGAACCCCTGACCTCAGGTGATCCACCAGCCTCAGCCTCCCAAGGTGTTGGGATTATAGCAATGAGCCACCACACCCGGTCCCTCCAGTAATTAAGTACAGTCTCAGTGAGACAGCAAGTTTGGAATCCTGGCTACACCATTTACTGGCTGTTTGACTTTCAATAAATCAATCACTCTAAGCCTCTGTTTCATCTATAAAAGGGGAGTGATAACTCCTACCTCACAGAATTGTTGTGAGGTTTGAGTGTGATAATGTGTCTCTAGTACACTGCTTGACACTAAACATTGCAACATGTCAGGCCTCTGTTCCTGGAGTTCCTTGAAGGAATGTCTTATGCATTCTAAGTATCCTCGTAGATAGCCTGGCACAGGGGTAGCTGTCAAGTTGTAGAATTGAACTAGTTGCTTCACTATGTCAGTAGCCACCCCTTCCAGACTTCTCACTTTTCAAGGAAACATTGCACAGGATTTGTTCTGGGTAGGGCAGGTAATATCTAGTACCTTACTTCCCTCAAGTTCATTCATCTCACAGATATTTCCTGAGCACATTCTACATTTGCCTCTCCTGCTCTATTGAGTTTAGAAGTCCAAACATCTCCTTCCACTTCCCCTCTGCATAGTGAGCCTCTTCTTTTTTGGCCAGGTACTGAGCAATTTTTTGTTTGTTTGTTTGAGACAGGGTCTCCGTATGTTGCCCTGGATGGAGTGTAGTAGCTTGATTTCGGCTCAGTGCAACCTCTGCCTCCAGAATAAGCAATCCTCCCACCTCAGCCTCCAGAATAGCTGGGACTATAGGCGCACACCACCACACCTGGCTAATTTCTGTATTTTTTGTAGAGACGGGGTCTTACTGTGTTGCGCAGGTTGGTCTCAAACTCCTAAACTCAAAGGATCCTCCCGCCTTGGCTTTGCAAAGTGCTGGGATTACAGGGTGAGGCACTGCGCCCAGTCCGCTTGTTTTTTGTTTTGTTTTTTTTTTTGAGACGGAGTATCTCTGTCACCCAGGCTGGAGTGCAGTGGCACGATCTCGGTTCACTGCAACCTCCGCCTCCTAGGTTCAAGCGGAGGGTAGGGACCAGTCCATCCTGGCACCCATCTGCAGCTCCAGTGCGAATCCCAACCCCGACGCTCGTCGCCGGGCTCCGTGAATGTTTGTCACATGTCTGAAGAACGTATGAATTACATAACCTTCTTCCCACTCCACCCCTCAAAAAGCAAGTGGATATAAAGACTTGAAGATTTTATAATCTCTTCTTCATTAGTAAAATCTGACCATCCTTACCGTTAAAAATAATAATGATGGTTGGCCGGGCGCGGTGGCTCACGCCTATAATCACAGCTGTTTGGCAGGCCGAGGCGGGCGGATCACGAGGTCAGGAATTGGAGACCAGCCTGACCAACATGGTGAAACCCCGTCTCTACTAAAAGATACAAAAAATTAGCCGTGCGTGGTGGCGGGTGCCTGTAATCCCACGTACTTGGGAGGCTGAGGTCGGAGAATCGCCTGAACCCGGGAGGCGGAGGTTGCAGTGAGCCAAGAAGGCGCCATTACACTCCAGCCTGGGCGACAGGGCGAGACTCCCTCAAAAAATAATAATAATAACAATAATAATAATAATGGTGAAAAAGGTTAAGTGCGAACGCAGGGAGGGGACAGCTAAGATCCAAAGGTCGAAATATTCATTACGCCTACCGTCGGCGAAGAGAAACAGCAGCCCCAACCGGAGGCAAAACGAAATCCCACCGCAGCCTGCAAAGGCGCCTGGGCGGGACTGGAGACTGGGGCCCCGCGCAGTAAGACTCTGAAGGCAGGATGCAGCCCGACCACCCGCAGCCGCGAGAAAAGCAGCCCTGGGGAGTCGGGGCGGGACCTGGATTGGAAAAGAGACGGTCACTCATGCAGAGGCGGGACTCAGAGCCCTTCCTCAAGTCTCATTGGTCAAGTTGAACGAACAAGTGTCGCTGGCGAGCCGGAGAGAGAGAGAGAGCGAGAGCGAGAGAGCGAGCGAGAGAGAGCGAGAGAGCGAGAGAGCGAGCGAGAGAGAGAGAGAGAGAGAGAGGAGCCGGCGCGAGAACTACGCATGCGTGTCGGCGTTTTCCCGCCAGCACACTGTTGGTGGATGGGGGCGATTGAATTCCCACAGTGAGTCCAGCCCACCGAAGCTCAGAGGATTCCTAACCTTCCTCTTTAGAGAGCCTCAGGTTAGGGAACGTCCAGTGCGCAGAAGCTGCCCCGTGGGAATCCCATTGTCCATCGCCTCCTAATGTTTCGTCCTGGCCGTGCCCTATCCCTTCCTGAGGCTGGGTTGTTATGATGCTGAATTATTCAAGAAGTCTTGCAGCCTGACGCCATCTCTGGGCAGTGCTCCTCCCACCTCCCTGTCTTCCTTGGAGGGCACCACGTTGCCCCTACAAGCACAGGGTCCTGAAGCTGTTTACAGGGCCCCACCCTGCCACTTTAGTATCTTAACGAATGTTTGTTGAGGACCTACTGAGTGTTAGACCCACTGCAATGAGCAAGTTTCTGATCTTGGGACCTTAACATTCTATGGGACGACACAGATATATAAACAAAAATAATAATTTTAGATAGTGATACATGCTGAAACCATGGGTATGTGGCCAGGCGCGGTGAGTCACACCTGTAATCCCAGCACTTTGGGAGACCGAGGCAGGCGGATTACTTGAGGTCAGGAGTTTGAGACCCGCCTGGCCAACATGGTGAAACCCTATCTCTTCTAAAAATACAAAATTTAGCTGGGCGGGCATGGGGACGGGCGCCTGTAATCCCAGCTACTCGGGAGGCTGAGGCAGGAGAATTGCTTGAACCCAGGAGGTGGAAGGTTGCAGTGAGCCCAAATCACACCACTGCACTCCAGCCTGGGTAACAAAGCAAGACCCTGTCTCAAAAAAAGACAAAATGAAACAAACAAACAAAAAAAAACATGGCTATGTGATAGAATGACTGCGATGGGGATTGGGTGCTCACTGAAATGGTGAGAATGGAGCTAAAACCTGATATTAGGTGATAGCACCAGATATAGGGGCCAAGGGTTTCATGCTTGGAAAACAGCAGGTGCAAACGTCCTTGTGCTGTGAGGAAATTTGGCTGGAACAGAAGGTGGGCCAGATTGTAGCTGACCATAGTCTCTGGGAGTTTGGAGATGATTCTAAATACAATGGGAAGCCATTAAATTGAGGCAGAGCCTTGATGTGACGTGCTTTATCATCATTTTGCTGAGTGGAGAATGGATTGCTGGGAAAAGTGAAAGACTGATTCAGAGGTTGTGGAGAGAGGATGGCTGGAGCTAGGTAGCTGGGGAGGTGGTGGGATGTGGATGAATTCAGGATAGGATTGGTTGTGTTGGATATGGGAAAAGAAGTCACCATGGTTCCTGAGCTTTTGGAATGTGCAAATGGGTAATGGAGGTGCCATTGAGATGGGAACAGTGGAAAAATAACCGGTGCTGGGGTGGGAATCAAGAGTTCAGTTGTGGCCATGTTGAATCTGAAATGCCCATTAGACATCCAAGCAGACATGCTGAGTTGGATGGCGCTCATGGGAGGTCAAGGCTGGAGTTATGGATTAACACATAGAAAGATGGTATTTAAAGCCATGGACTTTAGTAGTAGGGCCACCTATAGAAAGAGTGGAGGTAGGAAAGAGGGCTTAGGTGAGGGCCCTGGGGCCCTCCAATGTTAAGCAGTTCAGCAGGACAAAGTAGAAGAGCCAATATTTCCCTTTTCAAAGGGACAAATTCAAGAAGATGCTGATTATGGGTATTAATTGCTGCCTCGAGGTCAAGTGAGATGCAGGCAGAGAAATGGTCACTGGGTCTGACACCACTGTGGTCACTGGAAAGTTTGGTCAGAGCAGTGGCTGTGGAAAGATAGGGGAAGGAGTCTGATGGGGGTGGGTGAGGAGAGAATGGATGTTTAACAGTGGAGGGAAGAAAAAGAAAACCTATTGCTGTGAAAAGGAGGAGCAGAGTTACAATTAGTGGTTGGAAAGAGTGTCTTGAAAGTTTCTTTTTTCTTTTTTTTTTTTTTTTGAGACATGGTCTTGCTCTGTTGCCCAGGCTGTAGTGCAGTGGCTCAATCACAGCTTACTGCAGCCTGGACTTCCCAAGCTCAAGTGATCCTCTCACCTTAGCCACCTGAGTAGTTGGGACTACAGGCGTGTCCCACCATGCCTGGCTAATTTTTTGTTTTTTGTAGAGACAGGGTCTCACTATGTTGCCCAGGCTGGTCTTGAATTCCTAGGCTCAGGCGATCCTCTTGCTTCGGCCTCCCAAAGTGCTAGGATTATAGGTGTGAGCCACCATACCCAGTCCTGAAAGAGTTTTCTTAAATATGAGAGACACTAGAACAAATTTCACTGGTGACAGAGAATGATCAAGAAAACAAGGGGAAAACTGAAATTTATTGAAGGCTTACATACTGTTAAGAGCTTTACAAACATTCTACCTTCACAGTCTTTAATGGAGCAGGCAATTGGGGTTACATAGCTTGCCCAAGGTCATGCAGCTAGAGGTGGCAGAGCTGAGAGGCCACCTAGATTTTTTGGACTCTTCGTGCCTGCCTTACCACCCCATTGCATAGGCACACGTCACCCTGTACTTAAACACCTGGGCCATGCCTTTGCCCTGACCATAGTGCCCTTGCAAATCAGAAAGAGCCACTCTCATTCTGAGGGGGACAAGAATTTGTTTTCCTCCTCCAGTGCTATAAGAAGGGGCATCTCCCCCACAGTCTAAATACCCATGCAGCACAGGACAGAAGCTCTCCCAGTCCAGAGCAGCAGAGGCAAGCAGCAAGAGACCCCAGAGGTAGGAGGGAAAGGGACACTTTGGGGGGTATACAGCAGGTTTCTTTTTGTGCCAGCCAGTGCAAGAGGATGCTGGGGGCTGCTGGTCCCAACCAGCTGGTGCCTGTGGCTGGATGTGTTCAGTGTGACAAGAAGCCTAGGTCAGAGCCCAGTCTCCCGGCTGCCCCCGTTGAGGCTGAGGCTGTGGGGGCGGGTACCACGCTCCAGCCTGCGGCCAGACAGGAGACGCCGCAGGGAAGAGCTAGAGCTCAGATCTCCGCAGCTGCGAAGGTGGAGGCTCTCTCGGCCAGGCCGGCCCCACAGGCTCCGGGGCACCTGGACAGGGACACAAGAAAGGGCATCATCAATAAGGCTCAATCTGAAGCTCCACGCTTTCCCAAACATCTTTCCTGGCTCCCCGAATTCCTACCTGCTTATGTCCATGAGCTCCAGTCCCACTGGGGTCTGGGGCTTTCCTGGATATCTGGAGGAAACGAGTGACCAGGCCCCGACCTGGCCAGCTGCCCTTTAGGTCCCCCAGGGAGTGGGCAGGTGCAGGGCCCGAGGGCAGGGGAACTTTTTGGAAGGTGGGCACAGGGCGCCGTTTCTCGGCTGACCGGGCACGTAGCAACTTGGGGGAAGGGCAGCGGGCTAGGCGGAAGAGGCAGGCTTCAGAGCAGAGCCCTGCAGAGAGACAGAGATAAGAGAATGGTATTGTAGGGTGGAGAGGGGGCTGGGCAGCCATGCCCAATCCCCATCCCTGGGGCGCAAACCACATGCCTGACCTGTATCTGCAGAGGAAACAGAAGCAGCTTCTTCCTCAAGCACTTTGGTATAAAGGTCCCTGAAGTCAGCTGGGGAGAAGAGAGAAAGGGAGACAGGGAGTGAGTGGAAGTGTTCTGTGGACACGCCCACCCTCCTGTGGGAACTCAAGCCCAGAGGAGCTTTCACAGCTCCCACGCTCCATCCCCAATCAAAGGGCCAGCATCTCTGTCCATATTAGCCAGCAACTAGATGGTACAATCCACCACAACAAGGACTGCAGTGGTGTTGTTCAGCACCTGGCGCACAGTGCTGAGCGTTCCCCAGTACTATCTCCTTTCTTATTTTTTTGAGATGGAGTCTCACTGTGTTGCCCAGGCCGGAGTGCAGTGGTACGATCTCAGCTCACTGCAACCTCCGCCTCCCAGGTTCAAGCGATTCTCCTGCCTCAGCCTCCCTAGTAGCTGGGATTACAGGCGTCCACCACCAGGCCCAGCTAATTTTTCAATTTTTAGTAGAGATGGGGGTTTCACCATGTTGGCTAGGCTGGTCTTGAACTCCTGACCTCAGGTGATCCACCTGCCTTGGCCTCCCAAAGTGCTGGGATTATAGGTGTGAACAGCCTTGCCCGGCCACTGTCTCCTTTCTCAGCATCTTCGAGTACAATGCCTATGGCTGAAGTACTGTTATTATACATGTTTTTTGTTTGTTTGTTTGTGTTTTTGAGATGGAGTGTGTCTCTGTCACCCAGGCTGGAGTGCAGTGGCATGATCTTGGCTCACGGCAACCCCTGCTTTCCAGGTTCAAGCGATTCTCCTGCCTTAGCCTCTCTGTTAGTAGCTGGAATTACAGGCGCGCTCCACCACACCTGGCTAATTTTTGTATTTTTAGTAGAGATAGGGTTTCACCATGTTAGCCAGGCTGGTCTCGAACTCCCGACCTCAGGTGATCCACCCACCTCAGCTTCCCACAGTGCTGGGATTACAGGTGCAAGCCACCGTGCCCGGCCTGAAGTACTATTATTATACATGTTTAACAAGTGACAGCTGAAGCTTGGGGAGGACAGATAAGTGGACCAAGCTGAGAGCTGTGGAACTGGTTTCAAAAAATAAATCCTTTTGGGAGGCCGAGGCGGGTGGATCACTTGAGGTCAGGAGTTCAAGACCAGCCTGGCCAAAAGGGTGAAACCCTGTCTCTACTAAAAAATACAAAAATTGCCCGGGCACGGTGACTCATGCCTGTAATCCCAGCACTTTGGGAGGCCGAGGCGGGCAGATCACGAGGTCAGGAGATTGAGACCATCCTGGATAACACGGTGAAACCCCATCTCTACTAAAAATACAAAAAAATAGCCGGGCGTGGTGGCAGGCATCTGTAGTCCCAGCTACTCACTACTCGGGAGGCTGAGGAAGGAGAATGGCGTGAACCCGGGAGGCGGAGCTTGCAGTGAGCCCAGATCGCGCGGCTGCACTCCAGCCTGGGTGACAGAGCGAGACACCGTCTCAAAAAAAAAAAAAAAAAAAAATATTAGCCGGTCATGGTGGCGCACACCTGTAGTCCCAGCTACTCGGCAGGCTGAAGCAGGAGAGAGTCACTTGAACCCGGGAAACGGGTTGCAGTGAGCCAAGATCATGCCACTGCACTCCAGCCTGGGCGACAGAGCCAGAGACTCCGTCTCAAAAAAAAAAAAAAATTCTCCTTTTTTAGCTGCTAAGCTATGGATGTTCTGTCCCTAGGAGGTGAGTACCTGAGAAGTGTCTACCAGAGGAGTGAACTCACCCTTTCTTCCTCCTCAGGGACCTCAACTGTGCCCCAATCCTGGTGGGCATCACTGGCCACCTAACTCCCAGTGCCTACCCTCTCCTGAGCCTGGGCAGTCGGGGAGGGGGCTCACCAGTGTCACTGGAGGTCGTGATGCCTGGGTCGCTGTGGGACCGTGGCAGCAGCAGCGGTGGTGGGGATGCCGGATGAGGAGGCCGGTGCCCCGGTGGGGTGAGGGAACCTGAGCTATCGCTGAAGCGACGAGTCGGGGCTCGGGTGGGCGGGGCTGCGGCTGGGCGGCCCCCTCCCCGGGGGACCCGCCGCCTCAGCTCGGGGAAGCAGGGTCCCACCCAGGGCGGCCAGCCCTCCAACCGGTGGCAGCTGCGGGCAGCTGTGGGGGCACCCAGTGGGGGTGGAGCTTCAGGGGCAGAGCAGGAATAGGAGCGGGCAGCCCGTGGGGGGCGCCGTGGCAGGGGGCTTTCCTCGAAGGGGCCCCGCAGGCCACAGTCCAGGCTGAGGCAGTAGCCGGCACGGCTGCGCTGGATGGAGCGAAAGAGAACGTAGTCCACGGAGCGCACGGAGCCCTGCAGCTCCAGCAGGCACGAGTCCTCCGACGGGCTAGAGCCCCCAGGGAGGTCACCAATGGCTGACAGCACCAGAGACCCGCTGTCCATGGACACTGTGGGCGGCAGGGGGCGCTGTGTAGCACCAGCCTGGCCTGGCCTAGCCCTGCCCAGGCAGTTCCTCTTCTCCCAAGCCCAGCCTCTAGGGGCCACTGTGCCTCCAGCTTTATCTCAGAGGAGAAAAATAAGTCCAGGGTTCCAAGTTGCCACAGCCCTCCTATGTCCCCAAACCACCAACTCCGCCTTGTTTTCCCCTTCTATTGTCTCTACCCACCCCAGCTATCCCTGGCAGCCCCGCCCTTGTCCACCCCTCATTACGCCCTGCTCACCGTCTACAATGGAGGCCACTCGTTCACAGATGCACGAGCCATCGTGAAGCTGAGGGTCAAAGAGAGTGGCCTGCAGAAGACACAGGGTCAAGGGTTCAGCCCTACACACTGAACACCCCCATGTGCTAGACAGAGCTCTGGAGACTTAGATTCCAGACCAGCCTTGTCCCTTTGTACAAGTCACTTAATTGTGCAGCCTCAGCTTCCACGTCTGTATGGCAGAAATGATAGCTTCCAACCCACTCACCTCACCAGGCTCTAGGGAAGATCAAAGGCAACAGTGGGCATGCTGGTGCTGTAAAGACCTTGACCACTGTTACTATCTTTATCCAGAGGCTACAGCCTGTTCAGCTTTCCAGGCTACAACCCGGCTCCCCAGCCCGCCCCAAGCCGTGCTGTGCTCTCACCTGGCTGTCTCCTCGTAGTCCCATGACTGCCTCATAAGAAGGGGGGCAATCGGTAGGGTACAAGGGCACTGGGCTGTCCATGGAGCCATTGTACGTGATGCTGGCAGATGAGGAAGAGGGTCAATGTAGGAGAAATAATTCCCCCTCCACAAAGATCCCTCTCTCCAGCAATCCAGGCCCAGCCCCAGTCCCCTTCCTTAGCTCCCCCAGCAAGACCCCACCAGGCCTTACCTCTGTGCATCTGTTTCTGAGCTGCAGGTATACTCTGGGGGATAGTAGGGCGGTGGGGGCACAGGCGGGACAAATTCCTCCAGGTCCAGCATGGTGTGTAGGAGAGGGGCTGGGGGCGGGGACGTGCAGCCCAGAGGTCCCAGTGGGCCTGAGACTGACCGCTCAGGGGCCAGCTGCTGGGGAAGCGAGCAGGTCAGCAAGTCTGGATTCTGGGAATACAGCTCCTCCTGGGCCCCCAAACTCCTCTCTCATCTACATTATTTTTTCTGGCCCTATCCCCTGAGAGAAGCTCTTGTTCTGGCCCCTCCCTCACCCAAAATCAGCTCTCCTTAACCCCACGCTCACCCTGTACCTCTAGCTCTGGCCCTGCCCACCCACAAATTCCTCTTTATGGCCCCACCTCCATCCAGAAGCTCCACACATTCTGTGTCTTCACAGGAATGTCCACCCTTTAGCCTCACCTCCATCTAGGACCTTCTTTTTTTTTTTGAGACAGAGTCTGACTCTGTTGCTGGAGTGCAGTGGCGCGATCTCAGCTCACTGCAACCCCCACCTCCCAAGATCAAGCAATTCCCATGCCTCATCCTCCTGAGTAGCTGGAATTATAAGGGTGTGCAACCATGCCCAGCTAATTATTATTATTATTATTATTTCGAGACGAAGTTTCACTCTTGTCGCCCAGGCTGGAGTACAATGGCTACATCTCAGCTCACTGCAACCTCTGCCTCCCAGGTTCAAGCGATTCTCCAGCCTCAGTCTTCCGAGTAGCTGGGATTACAGGCACCCGCCACCACACCCGGATAATTTTTGTATTTTTAGTAGAGATAGGGTTTCGCCATGTTGGCCAGGCTGGTGTCAAACTCCTGATATCTGGTGATCCTCCTGCCTTGGCCTCCCAAAGTGCTGGGATTACAGGCATGAGCCACGGAGCCCAGCCTAATTTTTGTAATTTTGTGTGTATATATATATATATATATATATATATATATATTTTTTTTTTTTTTTTTTTTTTTTTTGAGACGGAGTCTTGCTCTTGTCGCCCAGGCTGGAATGCAGTGGCACCATCTCAGCTCACTGCAGCCTCTGTCTCCCCGGTTCAAGCAATTTTCCTGCCTCAGACTCCCAAGTAGCTGGGATTACAGGCACCCGCCACCACACTTGGCTAATTTTTGTATTTCGTTTGTTTGTTTTTTGAGATGGAGTCTTGCTCTGTCGCCCAGGCTGGAGTGCAGTGGCACTATCTCAGCTCACTGCAAGCTCTGCCTCCCAGGTTCATGCCATTCTCCTGCCTCAGCCTCCCGAGTAGCTGGGACCACAGGCGCCCGCCACCACGCCTGGCTAATTTTTTGTATGTTTAGTAGAGATGGGGTTTCACCATGTTAGCCAGGATAGTCTCGATCTCCTGATCTCAGGTGATCTGCCCTCCTCAGCCTCCCAAAGTGCTGGGATTATAGGCACGAGCCACTGCGCCCGGCCCGATTTTTGTATTTTTAATAGAGACAGGGTTTCGCCATGTTGGCCAGGTGGGTCTTGAACTCCTGGCCTCAGGTGATCCGCCTGCCTGGGCCTCTCAAAGTGCTGGGATTACAGGAATGAGCCACCGTGCCCAGCATAGGACCTTCTTGACTCTACCCCACCATCCAGTCCCATTCTCTAAAGCACCCTCTCCTGGTCCCAGACCAGCATCACATACTTAACTCACTCCCTGCCATCTCCCCTTCTCATCCTCCCCACTAAACATCCATTCCTCCAATAGATGAGGATAATAGATAACCCATAGCCCCTGGTGCTCAAAAGCCAGATCTGTAGCCATTGTTCCCTCAGGCAAGTCTCAGCACACACACCCCTGCCCCCACCATACCTGCGTGCCCTGGCCCCTGCTCCCTTCTCACCGTATGCACGAGGTCCAGGGAGAAGATTTGGATGCAGCAGACAATAGCAGAGAGTGTACAGATTATAGCGGCACAAATGGTGAGCCCACAGACGCTGAAGAGCAGGTTCTGGGGAAGGGAAAGGAGGAGAGGAGTCAGGAGACGGCTAAGTTCCACACATTATGGGCCTGTGAGTACCCCAGCAGGGGAGGCAAGAGTGAGAACCAGGAGGATGTTTGCAGGGTGCAAGCTCACCTTGAGGGCCCCTCGGGCTTCATCACAGGTGGAGTTAGGGGCAACTTTCAGTTCCTGCCCCGACTCTGGACAGGGCCGGAGGAGGGGAACAGAGGGACAGCACACACAGACCTTTCCTTCCTGAGTGGAGCAGGGAGGGTGAGGCAGCCTGAGTCAGGACAAACTGAGGTGTCCTGCACACCTCCCCCAGCCAGTTCTTTCCAGCTCTCCCTCCTCAAATCTCACCAGAGAGCACTGTTGGAAGTCTCGGGCCAGTTGAGCATTCTTACAGGAGAGAACAGAGCCAGCCATGCTAAGCATGACACAGAGCACCGAAAGCAAGGAGAAGAAGGAGATCTGGGGAAAACAGGGTGCAGACTCAGGGCTGGGACCCTCATGAGTACTCCTCTGCCACGGACAGAGTCCCCCTCCTTCACAGACACTTCGTGCCCACCCGGCTGGCACCAACTGGGGAGCCAGTTCCCTTCTTGAGGACATAAATGGGCTTCCCCTTGCGTGCTGGGCACCTGCCTCCCAGTGGGCACTGGACCCTGGCACCTACCACTAGAGTGAATGGCCGCTTCCAGGACACAATGCCAACCACCCCGGAGAACGCCAGCTGGGGACAGAGTGGGCACAGGCTCAGCCTGGCAGGGGAGGCTCCTGAGTGAGCCCCTCACCACAGGATGCACCCAGCCCTGTAAGGAGGCAGAGGACCAGGAGAGGGAGGAGAGGCAAGCATGTGGACTTGCAGCTGGTGTGGAGGGTGGGGCCCGAGGAGCCTCCCCCACCCAACAACTGTGCACCCAACTCACCGAGAACCCAGCCCAAGACGGGCAGGACCTCTTGATGCTCTCGGTGGTGGTGACGGAAGAGGCCACCATGCTGAAGGTGACCACCAGGATGCCCAGGAGCACTTGGACCAGCCCCAGCGTAAGCAGGGCCTGCAGCCAGGGTCGGTGGAGGCGGAGGTGGGTAAGGCCCCTGGTGCTGGGCCGGCTGGTCAGCGAGCGGCTGGAGTCACTAGGCGAGGGCATCATGCCTGCTGCCCGGTTGCCTGCGCCTCGCTCGGCCCTCCCTGGCACTTGGGAGCATCTCAGAGGCGCCCAAGGCCCCGTCCTTTCTCCTCTCCACCCCACTCGCTCTAGAGCCCACCCCCTGGCTGGGTCCCCTGGGGCATGGCCGAGGGACGCCAGCTGTGGGGGGGGCCAAGCGAGGGGCGTCACGGAGGGACCGCGGAGTGCTCCCTCCCCACCACGGGCACTGGACGGGCACCGTGCCCGGGGCGACGATGAGGACGCGGGGGCACCGGCTCATCGCATCTCCCTAGGGAAGAGGGGCACCGAGAAGGGCCGGTCCAGGAGTGAGGAGGGGGCGGCGGCCTGGAGCCCAGGGAGGGGTGGGGAGGGTAAAAGCGGGAAGGATGGAAATAAGTCTAGAGAAGAGGGGAGGGGTCGGCGTGGGGTGACTCTAGAGGCGCGGTCGGTGTGCCCTCAGGGCGTCCAGTAGGATCCGGGGCCGCCTGGTGGGGAGAGGCCGCGGCGCCGCTGTCTCCTGTGTCGCCTGTCCCGCTCCCCTCCCCACCACGCTCCGCTCCCCGAGCTCCGGCTGCCGCAGGTCGGGGACTAGAGAAGGGGGATGGGAATGGGGATGGTGCGGGAAGGAGGGGCATGGCGGCGAGGGCCGGCGCGGTGCACCCCGGGAGTTGTAGTTCGGGACTGAGACCCTGTCGGGGTTGGGGGATCCCGCGGCAGGGCGAGGCAGTCGGATAAGCGCTCCTCCAGTCCCTGCCTCGCTCTGGACCCTGGCTAGGCTGCTAGTGATCCTTTGGGCCTCCACTTGAGCCCCATCCAGCTTTTCAGGCTCCAGGCCCGCGTATTCCTTGGCGTTCCCGGCAGAGGCGGTGGCTCTTCCCCGTCATTAATGGAGAGGGGTGGGGAGCAGGGCTCCCTGGCGTCTCCGGGTTTCGCGTTTCCGTGGACTTCCCACCTCCTTCCTGCGCCAGCCACTCGGGCTCCACCGCCCCGCCCCTCATATCTCCCAGTTTACACTAAAGCCGGGTCCGACCTTCCCACCTCACTCCACACTCTCCTTTCTCTTTCATAAGGCCTAATTCCCAATGAAGATTCAGGAAACGGGGATGTCAGTTCCAGTTCCACTTTCTTTTTATTTAAATAACCGAAGCAACAGCCGTGGCACAGCAGAGGGAAGCTGGGTTGGGGCGTGTGAGAGGTGGCAGCAGTGTGGCCTGATGGGGGGACTAGGTCACAGTGAACTCCCCACACGCCTGTCAGGTTCAGCAGTCATGGCCATAGGATTGGGAGCACTACGGAGGAGCCATCAGTTAGTGATGTCTCTCCAAGTCCCAGAGACCTTAGGGACGGGAGCTAAGTCAGCTCCCTCAAGTAGCAGGGCCAGGGCATCCCAGTCAGGGGTCACGGGGCCCGGAAGGCATTTTCAGCAGCCCCAGCGGCTGCATTGGCAGCTGCGGTTCGCACCGCAGGGTTGGAGAAGACACCAGCAGCAAATTCTTGCTGGGCCTTCTGAAAGCTGGCACCTGTGCGGCGGTATAAGGAGTGGATCTGCAAGTAGAGGACAAAGACATTACCGCCCATTCCAGCCACTGGTTCCCCACCCCAGCCTAACAGCATCACTACCACTCAGCAGCCTGCTGCCCAGCACACACACTCACACACAGAAACACACACCCCAGAGGTCCATTAGCTGAGAACAACCCAGCAGCCTGACCTGTGCCAGTTGCTCCTGAATGTTCCACCCACGCCCCTGGGGACCCATGATCTCACCATCCCGGCCCCACCTTCGACACAGCCCTCACCCGTTTCAGCATGACAATTCCTAGCACAGCAATGCCAGTGAAGAGCAGGGCGACCAGCAGCATGAGCACGGATACTGCTGTGTTGCCCTTCGGCACCACCAGAGCAGAGATCCAGCCACTGTAAAGGGAAGGATGTACCAGTGAAGAGGGGCTCCTCAGCTTCTCCACTGGTTATGTCACCAGCATCCCCTGTTCCTACCCTTCCCATCAGCAGTGGCTCCCTGTCAATCGAGCAGCATTCCAAGCACCACAATCCCAAACTGTATCTAATCTCTTCATAGTTTAATTCCAGTTTCTGAACCATTAGCCCTGAGCTCTCCAAGCTCTTCCAGGCACTCATCTGGGGATTCTTCTTCCTCCTTTCAACCATGGTTCTATGCCTCCTCCAGGAAGCCACCTTAGATTGGCCAAATGCAGCATTCTTCCCTTCAATCTATATGTGTCAAGAGTGCTGTCTGCGCTCTATCCTGGAAGTATGTCTTGTATCTCATTAAACTAGTACCTCCCAAGGATTAAAACCACATTTCCTTTTTCTGAACAACTCCTATCCCAGCACCCAGTGCTGGCTGGATCTAGAGGGAAAGGTGAGGGTGGATAACAGCCTCACAAACCTGAATCCCCAACCTGGGATACCAATGGCCTGGAGGACAAAGAGCACATCCTGGACGAAGAAAATGAAGAAGAAAACGAAGAAATTGAATGAACTGTCACTCCTACAAAGAGGAAAAAAATGGGGAGGGTGGGAGAAGAATTAGAGCTGAAGGATGGGCAGACGTGGGGCCCATCCCAGGTCTCCATCACTCTCCCACCACTAACACACTTACCGGAAAGCCTTATACATGGGGCGGTACCAGCAGACAAAGGAGCAGGGAGTGAAAAGGAGGACCCAGAGGATAGAAAGCCCAAAGCCTGCGCCATTGTTGGTTTCCACACAGAAGCTGGCCAGGCAGGCGAGGAAGTTCAGGAGAAGAGCCAGCGTGCTGCCTAAGGGGCAGAGGGACAGGATGAGGAGCCCTTCTGGACTGCAATGAAGGCTCCTTCCCATCTATGCTCATCCTATAATATTCACCAAACATGGCAGAGTAAGGAAATGAAGGCAGCTGCTGCCTTCATGGAATCCTCAACAGGGGAGATGGAGAAAGCAAATGTCAATAATGTGTGATCCCCTTGCAAAGACATTTTTTTTTTTGAGACGGAGTCTGGCTCTGTCGCGCAGGCTGGAGTGCAGTGGCGCAATCTCAGCTTACTGCAAGCTCCGCCTCCCCGGTTCACGCCATTCTCCTGCCTCAGCCTCCAGAGTAGCTGGGACTACAGGCGCCCGCCACCACGCCCAGCTAATTTTTTTTTTTCTTTTTTTTTTTTTGAGATGGAATCTCGCTCTGTCGCCCAGGCTGGAGTGCAGTGGCAGGATCTCGGCTCACTGCAAGCTCTGCCTCCTGGGTTCACGCCCATTCTCCTACCTCAGCCTCCTAAGTAGCTGGGACTACAGGCACCCGCCACCACGCCCGGCTAATTTTTTGTATTTGTAGTAGAGACGGGGTTTCACCGTGTTAGCCAGGATGGTCTTGATCTCCTAACCTCATGTTCTGCCCACCTGGGCCTCCCAAAGTGCTGGGATTACAGGTGTGAGCCACCGTGCCCGGCCTTTTTTTTTTTTTTTTTTTTTTTTTTTTTTTTTTTGAGATGGAGTTTTGCTCTTGTTGCCCAGGCTGGAGTGCAATGGCATGATCTTGGCTCATTGCAACCTCCACTTCCCGGGTTCAAGTGATTCTCCTGCTTCAGCCTCCTGAGTAGCTAGGATTACAGGCATGTGCCACCACGCCCAGGTAATTTTGTATTTTTAGTAGAGATGGGGTTTCTCCATGTTGATCAGGCTAGTCTCAAACTTCTGACCTCAGGTTATCCACCCACCTCAGCTTCCCAAAGTGCTGGGATTACAGGCGTATACCACTGCACCCAGCCCAAAGACATCTAAAGAATTCAAAATATATTCCTGCATATGGACAATAAAAAGTGGGGAGAGGGCAAGAACATTTGCTAGCAGGCTGGTGAGTTCTAAATAGAGGTGAAGTGTTTGGTTCTTGGTGAGCGGACCCCAGGGCAGTTAAGAGATCTACCTGTAACTTCCTCCAAAAGGCTTCTCACTACTCACACATCCAGAGGTAGTACATGGTGGATACAGTCTTCTGAAATTCTTGGGGGATCTCCATGGAGATGTCCTGGAAAAAGCAGGGCTGAACTGGACAAAAAGAAGGTAGAGGGGGCCAATTGTTCTGTCGAGCTGTAAGGCACAAAAAAACAGGTGGACCCCAGAAGTAAAACAGAGACCAACAAAGGAATCACTCCCCCTTCTCTCCATCCCTGGATCCTCTCTTTTTTTTTTTTTTTTTTTTTTGAGATAGGGTCTCTGTTGTTCAGGCTGGAAGGTAGTGGTATGATCATGGTTCACTGTAGCCTCAACCTCCTGGGCTCAAGCAACCCTCCCACCTCAGCTTTTTTTTTTTTTTTTTTTTCTCCTGAGATAGAGTTTCGCTCTTGTTGCCCAGGTTGGAGTGCAGTGGTGTGATCTTGGCTCAGTGCAATCTCCGCCTCCCGGGTTCAAGTAATTCTCCTGCCTCAGTCTCCTGAGTAGCTGGGATTATGGGCACATGCCACCACGCCCAGCTAATTTTTGTATTTTTAGTAGAGACAGGGTTTCACCATGTTGGCTGGTCCTGAACTCCTGACCTCAGGTGATCCACCCGCCTTGGCCTCCCAGAGTGCTGGGATTACAGGCATGAGCCCCGGCGCCTGGCCGTCCACCTCAGCTTCTTGAGGAGCTAGGACTACAGACAGGTACCATCATGCCCTGCTAATTTTTTTCATTAATGTTTTGGAGGCAGGATCTCACTATGTTGTCCAGGTTGGTCTCTAACTCCTGAGCTCAAGCAACCTGCCTGCCTCGGCCTCCCAAAGTGTTGGAATTACAGGCGTGAGGCACCATACCCAGCCCTGGATCCTCTCTTTTATCTCCAATTTGGGGTCCAAGGAGACAAGTGAGAGTGGAAAAATTAATACTGTTTATTATTATTTAAAACATCTAAGCACTGTACCAAGTACTTCACATATATTTTGTTTAACCTTCACAACAACCCTGTCAAACGGATGCAAACGTGGTTTTCATTTTATAAATAGGGAAACTGAGGCATTCAAGATTAAGTAACTTCCCTAAAAGCTCATGGTTAGTAAGCAGTATCTCTAAAATTCAAACTCAGCAGTCTGACTCCAGAGCCCAGGTTTGTGTTTTTTTTTTTTTTTGAGATGGAGTCTCACTCTGTCACCAGGCTGGAGTGCAGTGGCGCTATCTCGGCTCACTGCAACCTCCACCTCCCGGGTTCAAGCGATTCTCCTGCCTCAGCCTCCCGAGTAGCTGGGACTACAGGTGCGCGCCACCATGCCCAGCTAATTTTTGTGTGTGTGTATTTTTAGTAGATACAGGGTTTCACCATGTTGGCTAGGATGGTCTCGATCTCTTGACCTCGTGATCCGCCCACCTCAGCCTCCCAAAGTGCTGGGATTATAGGTGTGAGCCACCGCACCCAGCCGAGCCCAGGCCCTTAAGACCTGTTTTTGCTCCTCCCAAACTCTCAGATGCTCTTCCCCACTCTATTACTTACTAGCTGTGCCCCCCAGGGCAGCATGCTGCAGCTCTCGCTCCCTTCGGTCCAACTCCTCTGCCTTCCGGTTGAGCTCCTCCTGTTTCTTCAGCAGCTCAGCTGTGGCTGCTGCAGCTGAGGCCTGCCCAGTGTGAGCAGACGGAGATGTGAGCCCTGGGCCCCAGGACTGGCCCTTCTCCCCAGCCCTCACCTGCACACCTCCTGTACCTGAGTGCTGTATGAGCCATAGTTCTTAGGTTCTGTGGGGCTGAGCTTTCTCGAGGGCTGCAAGGAGGGAGCTGAGGGTGGAGGCAATGGGGCAGGGGCTGGAGGCTCATAGGCTGGTGGTGGCTGTTGAGGAAAAGACCTTAGTGATCATCTAGTCCCTCATAACACAGGAATCTAGAGTCTGCTTGAATACCTTTAGACCCAGAACTCATGATGTAAGGAAGCAGCCTTTCCCCCATTTGTTAGGAAGCTAGTTCTTCTGTTGAATTTCTGTCAGAGAACTCTATGATGACCTGTAGCAGCCTTATCATCCCTCATATCCAATTCCTTAGTGAGGACTCAAATCACTCATTTACCATATCTCCCCACTTAACTGTGTTTTTTTTTTTTCTTTTCTTCTGGGGATGGAGTGTGGGGTTGTCTCTCTGCCACCCAGGCTGGAGTGCAGTGGTGCAATCATCACTCATCGAAGCCTCAAACTCCTGGGCCCAAGCAGTCTTTCCATCCCAGCCTCCCAAGTAGCAAGGACTACAGGCATGTGCCACTACACCTAGCCAATTTTTAAAACGTTTCAAGAGATGGGGGTCTCGCTGTTGCCCAGGATGGTCTCCATCAAATTCCTGGGCTCAAGCAATCCTCCCACCTCAGCCTCCCAAGTGGGATTACAGGCATGCACACCATGCTTGGCTTTTTTTTTTAAGTTTTAAGTACCATGAAAACCCCTTAAATTCTTACAACTCACCATCTTCTAATCCAGTGGGACAAACAGGTGTAGTCCTCCTCATTCCTTGCTTTCAAACTGCACACCTAACCTAAACTCCAACCAGCCCCAACCTTTATTTTCTTCAAGAAAGCCTTCCCATACAGAACATTGGTTAAGGCCTTGCCAGCCTCCAGATCTTCCCAGGACTGACTTTTAGAGCTCAAACCATTTGGGTTGGTGGCCCTGGTGGCCCTAGAAGGATGAGGCATCCCATGGCTGACTAGCCTCTCTCAGGGAACTAAGATCACAGTGCCTCTTCCTTCCTGTGCATGCAGAAAAGTCCCCTGTACCCAAGCTAACTTGTCTCACTGGCAAACCCTTCCCTTCCTTGAACTCCTATGCTCTCCAGTAGCTCACCTCCCGGGTCTCAAAAGGGTTGTAGACGTCAAGCGTGGCATACTGCCGGCTGGGTCGGTGCTGGATCACAGCTGGGTCCTGAGGGCAGAGACCCGGGTCTCAGCTGGCACCCAGTGCCACCTAGGGGAATTCCCAGGGACCATTCCCAAACTGCCTGTGGCTCCAAGTACTGCACCTTCGGGGCCACGCCGTTGTCCCAGGACTGGGACAACATTTACCTCAAATCCATCATCCAACACTGCCAGCACCAGCCCATTAAGGGGCAGGGCCCGCCCCCCAGAGTGCTCACTGGTCTGGAGTCACTGTCACCCCACGTGGCGGCTCTTCCCAGGATCAAATGTCACAAATGGGGATACAAGTTAGCCCGACCCTACAGAACCGGGAAGAATCAACCTGACCGCCCAAAAGAGGCCGACTGGCGCAAGTCACCTGAAAGGGGTTGTCAAGCTCGCTGGGCTCGGCGAACGGGTTTCCGCCGTCTCTGCTCTGAGCCATGTTTGCAACTGCGGCCTCCGCGGCCCTCTGCCCTCCACGCCCCTGCCGCAGCAGTGGCGGTAGCGGTAGCCCTCAGAGTCCACTTCACTCGCCTCAGTTCGCCCCGCTTCTCTGTGCACGGATTGGTTCCACCGACCGGAAGGGCCACAAGGATCCCCGCAGCAGCCGTGGGTTGCGCCTGCGTCTTGTCCAAAAGCTAAGACGAAAGTGCCCCCACGTGATACCTCTAACCCAGTGCCCACAACCAACTACCGCCCCTCTTCCATGTGACTTCCTTCCACTAACGAACTACACTTCCCAGCAGGCCTCGCGTAGGAATCCGGCCTTCCTAGTCTCCCGAGATGGACGACGGGAGCCTTCTGACCGGTCGTGGCAATCCCCCCTAGGAGCCAGGTTGAGCACGTTTTCAACCTGAGTTTCTGGCTCTATACTGGGCCGCGGCCTAATGACTCTAGGAGTCAGATCTTTCCCAACTCTCATAATTCCACATCCGAGAAGTGCCACCTCATAACACTTCTCTGTTTTAATCTGAAAGAAATGCTGCCCCACCCATCACTACCCTCCCATATGATAAGGTGGACAGGGGAAATAAACTGGTAGCCTGGCTGTGCTTCATTTTGGAGGGTAAGGAGGACTCCCTTCATACCCAAACTCAGAAAGTTTGCCAATAGTTTCATCCCTCCACCCCAGCATTCCCAAACCTCCAACTCCAGGGATGGGGGTCAAATGAAGCACGTTATTTTATTTCACAAAGACTGTACAAAATTCCTTATAAAACATGGGGTAGATGCCACCTGGTTACCTCACTCGGCCCCCATCCAACTCCGTATGAGGGGGCAGGTGAGGGTGGAAACTGTGTGGATGGAATAGTATTATGTACAAGGCAGGGGTTGAAGTGATAGGTACAAGTTCTTTCATATTTACACTATTTCACATATTCACAGGTATATAGAGAGCCAGGAGGAAGGAGTGAACTCTGGCTCGTTCTCTTGTATAAAAAAGCACCAGTGTCCTGGACTGGACACCCACTGCTATAAAAGATGCAGGGGGGCCCAGGGCCTGATCGTCACCGACTGATATCCCGACTGGAGTCCCACAACTTGTTGGGCGGCTCAGCCCGAAGGCGGGCGAAGAAAGGATGCTGAAGGGCTTCACCCAAGGTCAGCCGCTTAGCTGGTTCATACTCTAGCATGCTTTCAATCAGATCGAAGAGCTGGTGGTGTTCCTCTGCCTCTGAGGTCAGATACCGCTGGTGGAGGAGGGCAGGAAAAAGGTGAGGCAGGATGCCTTACAAACCCTGCCTTCTTCAAGACCCTACCTTTCATTCTTGGAGAACCAAGGCTCTGCTTGCAACCAATTTGAAGGCTACCTAACCACGACCACACCAGGACCAACGTTTCTGATATTATAGCTCAACCTACCTTCCCACTAGCACAATTACTCCATAATCTTTGAAAGTTCTTTCTACTTGTATATCCTTGTCAACTTCATGAATCTTCTTTAGTTCCTCATTAAAATGTAAGCTCTTCAAAGGTAGTTTATTCTTTTCTGTCTGACCTAAAGAATCCAGGACATTGCTTTGATCTCTGGTTGTCTCAAGGTTAGGCTGTCTAACCTCCTTCCCTCCACAAAACCACTCCCTCTTATGTTTCCTCTGTTGACCAAAGATGTCTTCTTTCAGCTTTCCTCCCCTCCTTTCCTAACCCTCTGCTTGTGAAGAGCATTCCAGGGGGCAAACCACCCTAAGAAGGAAGTGACTTCTGGACGGTGGGCACTATTTATCCCGAGCCCAGCTCACCCGCAGCGGTTTGCAGTTCTCACGAACATAGCGCCCAGCTGATGTGTTCTCATCCCAATCCAGGCGACCCCGGTAAAAATATTTCTGCTTTCTAGAGGGGAAGGGGAGGTTGAGGAATCAGAAGGTCACCCTTGTTACAATTCCCTTATTTCCCCATCTGAAAGTAACTGGGGGGAGAGGAGGTATCAAAGAAAAAAGAAAATGATGTGAAATAGACCAATTCTGTGGAGAGAAAAGGAAAAGAGTTAACTAGTGCCCCCTCAAGGTTCACCTTGTCTTTCGGATCATCCGGGAAGGGATAGGACCCAAGATCCTTTCCATCATGGCTAGATGCTCTCTGTTGTCATGGGTCTGGGAAACAAAAACAGAACTGAGCATGGGACTGAAAAGGGCATGCTAAGGATCAGCTGCCAGGAAGGCAGGCAATGTGGAGAACTGAGTAGGCAGGTCCTCAGCAGAAAACAAAGGAACCAGGTAGAAGAATGCCAGGCAGTCAAGTAAGACATCCCATCACTTACCTGGAAGAGGGTGAATCCCACATAGTATTCAAAGATGATGCAGCCTATACTCCACACATCACAAGGCTGTGACCAGCCCAACTCTGGGTGAGAATGGGAGGGAAAAGGTGTTATGAGGCTTAGGTGGCCCCACCCTCACATCATCTCACACACTTGGACAGCCTTGCCCTCCCTTACCAAGGATGACTTCTGGTGCTCGGTAATGGCGAGTGGAGACAATGGTGCTATGGTGCTCATGGTCAAAGGTGGCACTGCCAAAGTCTACCACCCGCACAGCTGTGCTCTTCACACTGCGCTCATCTCGCTTCTAGGAGCAGAGGAGAAAGAGGATGAACCTCTGCACCCAGACTGAGATTCCACCAGTATTCTCTACATTGCTTCTGAGCCTTAAAAAAGGTACTGTGATCTCCTGCCTGGCCTTACAAGCCCTGGGAAATTCCTGTTTTACAGCTTCCACCACATCCAGCATAATACTTTTAGAAGTAGGGGAGCAAAAGGATTAAGAAATGATTATAGAACAGCGTGCACATCTGTAAGCATCTGAAGACTACACTCAAGTGCCAGATATATAGTTATTCTGAAAACATGTAACATGTAGCAAATGGGTTTTTCTGAAAAAATGTAACATGTAGCAAATGGGTTTTTCTGAAAAAATGTAACATGTAGCAAAGGAGTTTCTCTAAAAATATGTAACATGTAGCAAAGGGGTCAAAGGAGGGAGAGCTTCTTTAGGTCTGAGATCTCCATTATCTCCAGTTAGTCAAAGGAGCCGAGCTTTCCTACCTCACAGAAATACACATCTCAAAAAAGAAGTCCGGGCCAGGCACTGTGGCTCACACCCGTAATCCCAGCATTCTGGGAGCCCGAGACAGGCAGATCACCTGAGGTTAGGGGTTCGAGACCAGCCTGGCCAACATGGCAAAACCCCATCTCTACTAAAAACACAAAAACTAGCCAGGCGTGGTGGCGGGTGCCTGTAATCCCAGCTACTCCAGAGGCTGAGGCAGGAGAATCACTTAAACCTGGGAGGTAGAGGTTGCAGTGAGCCGAGATTATGCCACTGCACATCAGTCTGGGCAACAGAGTGAGACTCTGTCTCAAATAAATAAATAAATAAATAAATAAATAAATAAATAAAGTCCAAACCAAGAACCTTAAAAACTTTCACTCTACTGGAAAGTTATCTGAAGTCCCCTGTACAAGTTATCTCCCAATTTAAGTCTTCTTAAGAGATTTCTCCCTTTCAACCTATTTAGTTTTACCCAGTTGGAGCCAGACAGGGAGAAAATGTGGGAGGACGAAATAAAAGGGAGAAAACAAAGGGCTCGGCAGAAGGCAAAGTGGTGCAGCTGCCTGCCCCCAGTAACCAAGGGCAGACCCTATCCATCTTACCTTCTCTAGGTTGTAGGTGAGCTCATAGTCTGAATTCACAAACAGAATATTTTCAGGCTTGAGGTCTGTATGTGTCAGCTTGTTATCATGGAGGACTGTAGGGGAGAAGGCCAGGTCAGGCTTGGTGCAGGTGGCCAGAGCTAACTGGTATCAGCTGACCCCAGGCCTGGTTACCTAGGGCAAAGCCAGTGAGGAGACAGGTCCAGAATCACTAGGGCTGCTTTCTGCTCTACGTCTAAATGGAATGCCTGGTCTAAGAAGCTCTGCTCTTTCTAATGTAAGATACATATGTAGCTCAACTGATGTAAAAAAAAAAAAGTTTGCTTTGAGTTGTAGTGTGTACACACTTTGACATGTGTCTAGCTGGCATTATGTTAACTCAATTCTGTGAAACTGTATTATTTTGATGACTCCAGAGGAATGATATATTTCTTTGAATTCCCCACCTTGCCCCTTAGCTGAACTACATACTCTGTGTTCCCATCTCCTTTGCTGTGAATGAACATCTCATCCCAGACAAATGTAAGCCTTTACCCTAAGGAGTGTATTTTTGTCTCTTTATGTTTGCTGTCTGACTGATGCTTTCCCAAGAAAGGGAGAAAGGAAAAGGGGAGGGTAATTAAGTGCTTTGATTCCAAAGGCTTTCTCTTCTAGCTGCTGCTAGGCTAGGTGTAGAGTAAGAGCAATCAGTGACGATAAAGACATCAGTCAAGGAGTTAAGTCAGAAGACGTTTCAAGATGACAGTAAATCAAAGAACTGCAGATAACAGACAGCTGACTGTTTAGGGGCTTCACCAGTGCACAACCGACAGAGAGATCCAATGAAGGGAGGGACTGCCCCAGAGTCCACTTCGGCCCACCCCACTCACACTTGACAGCCTGGCACAGCTGGAAGGCCATGTGGCGCACTTGGTGGATGGGGTAGGGCAGGTAGTTGTTGTCTTTGAGGAAATCGAAGGTGCTAAGGCCCAGAAGCTCAAAGGAGATACACATGTGGCCATGGTAGTCAAACCAGTCAAACATCTGGACACAGAGGCTGAGAAGAGAGATGGGGGAAGGGGGGTTGTCTGATGAGCTCCCATCTGCCCATCAGCCATCCAACAAGGAGGTACTTCATAGCTGTTGATTCCACATACTTGTGTAAAACCATGCCAGCTAGTACTAACACCAAAATTCAGTTCAGCTAAGGAGTAGCCTCTACCAGACCCAAGAAGAATGGTACTATCTGCCAGGTTTTTTTCTTTTTTGTTTTTGAGATGGCGTCTCACTCTGTCACCCAGGCTGGAGTGCAGTGGCGCGATCTTGGCTCACTGCAACCTCTGCCTCCTGTTCAAGCGATTCTCCTGCCTCAGCCTTCCAAGTAGCTGGGACTACAGTTGTCCACCACCATGCCCGGCTAATTTTTTTATTTTTAGTACAGACGGGGTTTCACCATATTGGCCAGGCTGGTCTCGAACTCCTGACATTGTGATCCACCCGCCTCGGCCTCCAAAGTGCTGGGATTACAGGCGTGAGCCACCATGCCCAGCCCAAGTTTCAAAATATCTTCCTGCGTCATTTTAAATAGTTCAAAAACTATTTGCTGAAGAGCTGTGGAGTGCCAAGCTCCAAACAGTATAGATCCTGAATCATCAAACTGTCCATCCTAAATCCCAACCCCAGCCCAACTCCTGATATTCATTCACCACTAGCTACCACTGGGCTCCTATTTATACCTACTGGCCTCATATCTTGGCTTAAAGTCCTTATTCTATTTTTGGACTGTGAATGTATGTGAACAAAATATTACTGCATAAATGTCTGTGGCCTTATCAGCATAGTTCTACTTATAAAAGCTTAATTCATTGTTCGATGAGGTTGATGCTCAGTCCTAGGGCTATGTCCAGGGTATATCTCTACAGAAGCCATTCTAGGCTGGGGTCAAACGACAGAGCAATCTAACTTCCCTGAAAACAAGGGGAGTGGATTAAGGAATGTCATGGGCCCCCCCCCTTTCCTACCCTGATGTTCTACTACTCTAAGATGATGAACAAAAGATGAATGGATGAGAAGGTCTAGGACTCCCCTGTCTGCCTAAACCAGGTCTAGAAGTCTCTCCCGTGTAGGGGTTGGGGCTCTCAGCCTCCCTACATACTTCCTTGCTTGCTTACTTCTTGTTGTCAGGGTCTTTCTCATTGATTTTCTCTAGCACGTTGATCTCAAGTCGAGCTGCTTCCTTGTACTTCTCCACATTCTTAATGATCTTCAGGGCAACTCGAGCCCCACCCCTGTAAGTTGGCAGGAGAGGCTTTTGCTGGGTTCTCAAGAATGTCTCAAAATGAACAGGGCTGTAGGGGGACTAAGAAATTCTACCTCAGGTTAATTAGCAAAAAAGCCCCATATAACCCCAACCATCTCTTTAGCCCCACATAGTAGGGAGGGACTGACAGTTACCTGCGATGGTCAACACATTGTACAACTCGGCCGAAGGTCCCCTCTCCTAAGGTGCTAACGATTTCATCTGAAATGAAAGAGAGCAGGGTCGGGGAGAGGGAGGGAGAGAAGGTGGGGAATGAGCTGAGTTGGAAGAAAAAAGGGGACAGCAACCTGGGGTGGAGATGAAGGAAGGGGAACAGATACAGATGGTCACAGGGGAAGAAAACCCCTGCGTGATTCCCACCACCTTTAACCCAGGGGCCGTGAGAGCTGGGAGTGGACAACAGAGGTCAATTCTCAACAGCAACTCAAACCACCCAGATAAACAACACCACTGAGAAAAGGCAAGAGGCTGTGACTCAGGTTGGCTTGGGACGTTAGGATGGCTATGGGACCATTACAGGCTATAGGATTGTTACGATTTGGCTTGTACATCGCTCTTGTAGCCAGTCCCCGACGTGGTAGATGAGGTGGCCCTCAGCGTCGTCCTCTACACTCTTGGCTCTCCGGCTGCTGTGCTGCTGTCGGGGGGCAGGGGGGGTCGGAGCAAGCCAGGTGTCGGAGCGGGGGCCGGAGGGAGGCGGGGTGGGTGGTAGAGGGGTCACCGGTCACAGGCGCCCAGCCAGGGGGGACAGACGATGATGGGGGACAGTGGAAGGGAACACGTCAGATGCAGTAAGGTGGATCGGTGTGAGAAGAGAGAGCGGCGCATAATCCCAAGTCCCCAAACCCAAAACAGGAACAGGGAGAGGCATGGGCAGAGCAGAGAAGTGGTGTTGTTGCCAATGTCACCCACAACCCCATGCTCTACACAATGCCCTTCCGGGCAGACACAGATCTCCCCTTGCCCCCACCCAAGCCCGCCTGCCAAGGGGGCTACAGAGCCCAGGGCTTGGGGGAAAAAGGCAGTTCACAAGCAAGGTCCCCATTAAAGAGTGGAGGCCGCTGGGGCGGAGAAGCTGCTCCCAACACAATAAGCCCAACATGCCAGGGAGAGCACTGGGGGTCACAAATGCTCCGTGCCCATCCATCTCCAAAGCAGATCCAGGGCCCTTCAAGAGTCGGAGAGCTTCCAAGAAAGTAGGCAAACTCAGTGCCCACCTCAGTGTTCATGCCCCAATGTTCAGCTGAGAACAAGGATACTGCTCACTTACCAGAGTCCTAGAGGGCCTGCAGAAGAGTGGGGAGAGGAAGGGCCTGGGCTGGCACTCACCGAAGATGAGCGGCTAAATGTCCGGCTGCGCCTCCTCCGCCGTCTGTGCTTCCTCCGGCTGCTGCGCTGGCTGCGGTAACTGCTGTTCTCCCGCTGATATTCATAGGAATGCCGATAGTCTGTGTCATAGTAGGCATCTCCCCGATCCCGGCTATAATCGTTGCGTCTGTAGCTGCCACAGTATCGCCGGTCATACACCCTCCGGTCGGACGAACGATCATCATAACTGCTGTTGGATAACAAATACCAATGAGGTGTATCTGTTCAGATCACATTCCCTACCATACCCTGTGACAAGGTCCTGCCTTAGTGAGGACAAAGAGTAATGCTAGAAAACTGTTCTCAGACACTTGTTGAGTCACTGAGAGGACCAAGGGACCAGAGAAGTGAGGTAACAAGCACATCTGCCATGTCACCAAAACCTCTGAAAAGGCATCTGCAGAACCACTCCCTATTGGGGCCTTTTTCCCGCTGCAGTGATACAAAGAAACAAAGAGCCATTTTTTTCTCAAGCTTTCCTGAATGAAATCCCCCCTTGCTCTAAACCATCCTTAACCCATTCTTTCCACTGAACATACCACTAAAATATTAAAACTGGGCCGGGCACAGTGGCTCACGCCTGTAATCCCAGCACTTTGGGAGGCCAAGGCAGGTGGAGCACTTGAGGTCAGGAGTTTGAGGCCAACATGGTGAAATCCTGTCTCTACTAAAAATACAAAAAAAAAAAAAAAAAATTAGCCAGGCATGATGGCGCATGCCTGTAGTCCCAGGTACTTGGGAGGCTGAGGCACAAGAATCGCTTGAACCTGGGGCCATAGAGTTTGCAGTGAGCTGAGATCTTGCCACTGCACTCCAGCCTGGGCAACAGAGTGAAACTCTGTCTCAAAAATAAATAAATGATATTTTAAAATTTTTAAAAAATTAAAAACACAAAGATCTAACTTTGTCTTATCTGTTAGCTTATTAGTTACCTGTAGCTCCCAGTCCTTTGCACATGCTTTCCCTCTGCCCAAAGACACTTCCCCCACCTGACTCTACTTGTCCTCCAGACATATACAGATGTTGCTTTCTCTGCAATGTTTTATCTGAATTAACATCCTGCCCCACTCCAACCAAACGCACTGGGTACGTCCTCAGTTCCTCATTATGTATTCTAACACTTAACACTGCAGCCCAAATGGCTTCTTTGGTTATCTATCCCGACATTACCTTCAGCCAGCTACTTAAGGCAATGGTTTTAGCATATAACCAATAAGTATTTGTTGAACAAAGGAATGAGCGAGTGACCCTGTGTTTGAGTATCTCTTCCTGAGGCCTCACCTTCGAGAACGGACATGGTAGCTGTCCTCTCGCCGACGCCGTCGTGTCCGGTCACTACTACTTGACCAGGAGCGACTTCTTCGTCGCTTATGCTTTCGGCTCCGATAGTGTTCACGGTAACTCCCCCGGCTGCCTCGCTCTGAGGAGTGGTACCTTCGAGGATGCGGCATCTGGAAGGCAAGGGAAAGCGGAAATAGGAAAGTTTCGAGTTTTCAGAAATCTCCTCCAAGGACTGGCTGCTCCAAAGATGCTAAGCTGCTTTCCCCTCTTATTTCTGCCTCTTTTTACCAGGCACAACTTCCTCAGTCTTCCTCTGTACTTACAATTCCTCCTTATTGGAGTACAGCCACCTACTAACTCTGGCTGAAACTCTAGAAAGCCCCCAAACCCATCCCTCATTACCCACCCCTCAGTTCAAGTGTTCTTATTTTATTCTTGAGACAGAGTCTCGCTGTGTGGCCAGGCTGGAGTGCAGTGGCACAATCTCGGCTCACTGCAACCTCCACTTCCCAGGTTCAAGCAACTCTCCTGCCTCAGCCTCCTGTGTAGCTGGGATTACAGGCACGCACCACCACTCCTGGCTAATTTTTATATTTTTAGTAGAGACGGGGTTTCACCATGTTGGCCAGGATGGTCTCAAACTCCTGACCTCGTGATCCTCCTGCCTCGGCCTCCCAAAGTGCTGGGATTACAGGCGTGAGCCACCGCACCCAGCCAGTTCAAGTGTTCTATCCTTATTTTCTTCAAACACAGCTCCATGAAGACCTTCAGGTCTAGGACACAGTTCACTACAGAGCAAAGTGTATGACGACCGATGGAGACTGCCACAGTGTATCCCCGTTCAGGATCTAAGATATAGATCTGTGTGATGCTGAGTTCCTCACAAGTCAATAGAGTAAAGCTTTGGTTTACAGTTATGATAAATGTTGTACACTCATTAAGAGTACATCTCATCTCCTCAAGTAGACTATCAGTGTCCTGAGGGTAGGAATCCAGTCTCCCAGGTTTCTACATATACCAGGTAAACGCCAAATACTATCAGCTCCAGGGATCTGGGTCGGGCCCCTTGAATTAACTTAATCATCTCTCACATCTTTGGCCAACTCTCCCTTGAGAGGTTTTAATGTAGTAGGCCACAAAATACAGTCAGCATCCCATCTGGCCCCTCCACTCTTGTGCTTAAGACGTAGATAACAACTGTTTCTTGTGTTTTTTTTTTTTTTTTTGAAACGGAGTTTTGCTCTTGTTGCCCAGGCTGGAGTGCAATGGCGCAATCTCGGCTCACCATAACCTCCGCCTGCAGGGTTCAAGCGATTCTCCTGCCTCAGCCTCCCGAGTAGCTGGGATTACAGGCATGCGCCGCCACGCCCAGCTAATTTTGTATTTTTAGTAGAGACAGGGTTTCTCCATGTTGGTCAGGCTGGTCTCGAACTCCCAACCTCAGGTGATCCGCCCGCCTTGGCCTCCCAAAGTGCTGGGATTACAGATGTGAGCCACCGCGCCTGGCCAGTAAGTGGTTTTTAATTAATATCAGCCCTACTTAGCTGACAGCTGGCCACCTTCCAGTTAATGGAATTGGAATGGGATGGTTCACAAATCCTTTTTTTCCTTCAAGGAAAAAAGAGAAAAATCACTGTCACAATCCAGGAAGATGAGAATAGGAAGGCACAATAAAATGAAACAGGCCCAGGGACATAAGTCTTGGTGGGGGTGTATGAGAATCGCGTATGCAAAAGGTTTAATGATTCCGATGTCTGACCACCATTCTGTATCACTTCTTCCCAACCTCCCCAAATTGAGGAGGGTGGTATTTGATGCATTCTTGGTGTAACTGGGGCCGGTAGCATACCAAGCTGCAAGCACAAGATTTTCCCAGCATAGTTATCCTAATCAGCATAGCCACATAAATGCCATCTCACCACATACTACCATCAAACGGCCTCACAGCACTGTCCCCTCAAAACATCACTAGCCTACCTTTCTCAAGTTTGAAATCTTTTGCTTTTTCCTTTCTTACTCAGAAAATCCAGAACTCCTACAGGCAAATTCTTCCTGCATGTTCCAAGTGACACGGTGATGTATTCCTCCCCTCCAGCTTTGATTGGACCCGAGTCCAACTTTGATATTCCACTCCTTCACATCTCTGGAACCACTCCCATCCTTACTCTATCATCCCTTCTAGTCTGGTTCCGCCCAAGCTTCCTACAGGTCTTCTTGGTACATCTAACGCAGGCCGACCTCCTTCCCCCTCATCTCCCTACTCCGTCGCTTCGTAGGTCTCAACTCTCCTCCTCTCCAAATCTCGCCCCCGTCCCTTGCCCCCAACCCAAGCCTAACCCCGCCCGCCCCGCGGTCGCCATCTTTTCGCGCGGCCAGCCAACCCGCGCGCTCACCGTTCTGGCGGCGAGGCCCGTGCGCTTGTCCCACAGGAAGTCCGTGATGGCGGCGACACTGCGGCCGGAGTCCCGGCACCCCCGCGGCGACGAAATGCTGCTCCACCCCCCCAACCCGGGACCCTGGGACCTCCCGCCCCGTTCCCGGGCTCCGCTTCAGTCCCGCCCGCCCCGGCTCCGTCCCCGCCCCTAAGATCTGCTTGGCGCCGCTCGCACCGCCCCCGCCCGGGGCCCGATCCCAGCTCGGTCTCCGGCTCTGGCCTCTCCGCTCCGCCGCCGCCGCCGTGAGCGAGCACGTACGCACGGACCGACGTCCTGCGTCGCTTCCCAGCTACCCCCTGGGCTCCGCCCCCAGGACCGCGCGCGCCACCACGTGCTCACGTAGTTGGCAGGCATCCGCCTGTCAGAGCCTCGGAGGTACTGGGGGCGGAAGTTCATAGGGGCGAGGAGGGTCCACAGGGACAAGCTGGAAGCCTTCCAGGCCCGCTATGCCCCGCCTCCTGTCCTTTCCCACTCCGTCTTCAATCTTTTACCCTTTGCATGGAGACGTGTGGCTTAGTTAGGTTTGGAGTTTAAAAGAAAGGATTGTCATTGTCAATACAGTGTCGCTGCTCTGCAAGCCTGACTGTAGTGAGGCTTGATGGTGAAGTCTCATTCTTCTGCATAGCCTGAAAATAACCATTTCTTAAAACACTTCACCTACCTATCCCCAGGACAAAAGTCTGCCACCTTTTGTCATCAACAAAAGTTATGCACGACTCGGGGTGGGGACACAGCCATGGAGGAAAGGTTTGAGCAATGGAGGGTTGGAGAATCGGGTGCCGAAAAGGGGGACTTACTTGAGAACTGTATCCTAAGGTGGCTTACATAATGTGTGAGAAATACAAGTTTACTAGGGCCGGGCGCGGTGGCTCTCGCCTATAATCCCAACACTTTGGGAAGCCGAGGCGGGCGGATCACGAGGTCAGGAGTTCGAGATTAGCCTGATCAACATGGTGAAATCCCGTCTCTACTAAAAATACAAAAATTAGCCGGGCATGGTGGCGGGCGCCTGTAATCCCAGCTACTCAGGAGGCTGAGGTAGGAGAATCGCTTGAACCCGGGAGGCGGAGGTTGCAGTGAGCCGAGATCGGGCCATTGCACTGCAGCCTGGGTGACAGAGCGAGACTCTGTCTCAAAAAAAAAAAAAAAAAAAAAAAAAAGCGCGCATCACCACGCCCAGCTATTTTTTTTTTTCTTGTAGAGATAGTGCCTCACTTTGTTACCCAGGCTAGTCTTGAACCCCTGAGCTCAAGCAATCCTCCCCCATCGGCCTCCCAAAGTGCTGGGATTACAAGCATCAGCCACGGCGCTTGGCCAGTTTACTAAATCTTAAAAAAGAACAGGAAGGCTGGGCGAGGTGGCTCACGCCTGTAATACCAACACTTTGGGAGGCCAACGTGGGTGGATCACTTAAGCATAGGAGTTTGAGACAGCCTGGGCAACAGGGCAAAACCCAGACTCTTAAAAAAATACAAGGCCGGGCGCGGTGGCTCACGCCTGTAATCCCAGCACTTTGGGAGGCCAAGGCGGGCGGATCACGAGGTCAGGAGATCGAGACCATCCTGGCTAACACGGTGAAACCCCGTCTCTACTAAAAATACAAAAAATTAGCCGGGCGAGGTGGCGGGCGCCTGTAGTCCCAGCTACTCGGGAGGCTGAGGCAGGAGAATGGCGTGAACCCCAGGGGGCGGAGCCTGCAGTGAGCCGAGATTGCGCCACTGCACTCCAGCCTGGGCGACAGCGAGACTCCGTCTCAAAAAAAAAAAAAAAAAAAAAAAAAAAAATACAAAAATTAGGCCAAGCGCGGTGGCTCATGCCTGTAATCCCAACAGTTTTGGAGGCCCAGGAAGGTGGATCACTTGAGCACAGGAGTTCGAGACCAGCCTGGCCAACCTGGTGAAACCCTGTCTCTACTAAAAATACAAAAATTAGCCGGGTGTGATGGCAGGTGCCTGTAATCCCAGCTATTTGGAAGGCTGAGGCACGAGAATCGCTTGAATCCAGAAGGTGGAGGTTGCAGTGAGCCGAGATGGTGCCATTGCACTCCAGCCTGGGCGACAGAGTGAGACTGTGTCTAAAATAAAATAAAATAAAAAATAAAAATTAGCCATTCATGGTGTCTCCCACCTGTAGTCCCAGCTACTCGGGAGGCTGAGGTGGGAGGATCACCTGAGCCTGGGGAGGTTGAGGCTGTAGTGACCCGTGATCGTGCCACTGCACTCCAGCTTGGGCGACAGAGTGAGACTCTATCTCAAAAAAAAAAAAAAAAAAAAAAGAAAAGAAAAGAAAAAAAGAAAATGAGAAAGAGAAAGAGTTAGAGACTTTACAGAAGGAATTGAGAAGTGGTCAGAAAGGTCAATTGAAAGAGAAATAATATAATCTGAGAATAACGATATTAAAGTCAGGGAGCTGAGCAAGGTGGCTCACACCTGTAGTCCCAGCTACTCAGGAAACTGAGGTGGGAAGATTGCTTTGAGGCTGCAGTGGGTCATGATCACACCACTGCACTCCAGCTTGAGCAACAGAGCAAGACCCTGACTCTAGAATGAGTAAATAAATAAAGTCAGGAAATATTAGAGAGGAGCTGGATGAAGGATGGTCAGATGGAGGTTAGATCAGATAACCAGACATAGTTTAGAGAAGTTCCCTGGAATAGAACATGGAGAGCAATCAATGAAGGAGTCGGGGAGAGAGAAGTAAAGATTTCACTTCCACCTCCTGGAACATTTTCCTAGATTATTAATTCATTCAACAAGCATTTACTGAATGTCCACTATGTGTCCAGAATTATGCCAGGTGCAAGGTTCCTGTTTCTCAGAGTTTCACAATCTAACAGGAGAGAAAATCTGTAAATAAATAATGAGACCATGCTCATGCCTGTAATCCTAGCACTTTGGGAAGCCAAGGCAGGAAGATCACTTGAGCTCTGAGTTCAAAACCAGCCTGGGCAACATAGTGTGACCTCATCTCTAAAATAATAATAATAATGGTAGCCCTGTGACATGAGTTGCTCAAAACAGTGGTGCCCTGGCTGCTGTAAAAAAGCTCTAGAATAGACCCTACCTGAGGAAAGGAGAGTTGGAAATGTGTTCCTAGGTTTCCTAGAGAAAGCAAGATCTGAACCAACTGTTCGAAAGTGAATTGGAGGAGAATACCAGGCAGAGAAAATATTTGCAAAAGCATAGAGACAAGGCAGCACAAAGTCTTTCAGCATGATTGGGGCTGTGGCTTTCAAGAGAGGGACTGTCAGAAGAGAGACTGTTGAAACTAGGTCCAAATTTTTTGGGCCTGGTACACCATGCTAAGCAGCTTAAATGTACCCCTGTAGAAGATGGGAAAGCTTGATGGGCTTCAAGCAAGTGACACAGCCATAGTTGGATTTTAGGAAGGTAACTGGCAGGGAATGGAAGAAGAATTGGCCTGGAAGAGGTTGAAGACTCTTTTAGAGGTTTCCGAAGTAATTTAAGTGAAAAAATGCTGAGGGCTTGAAATGAGGCAGTGGTAATAAGAATTGGAGATGAAGGGGAGAATTTGAGATATTTAGGAATTTGTAGCACTTCGCATAGCACTGCAATTTACCTGTCTGTCGTTGGGCACAGATGAGCAGTGGCTTTATGGCTAGGCCTTTGTTTTTGTTTTGTTTTGTGTTGTTTTCCATTACTACATGGAGATGCTAAGACTAGGACTTTTGTATTCATTTTTGTTTCCTCAGCATCCACTCAATGACAGGCAGAGTTGCACTTGGTGAAGGCTGACAGAATGAATTAGGAAATTAAATACTAGGGGAAGCAGTTCGGAGGAGACCAAAAGACAAGAATATGCCTAGGACAGTGTTGAGAGAAGACGGGAGCAGGACAGAAGTCCCTGGGCGAGAGTGGAGAAGAATCCCAAAAGCCATTTCCACTTCTTCCATTGGTCCCCAATCCCTCTCCCTCCCAAGTCCTTCAAGCTACAAACCCGCGTCCGATTTTCCCGCCACTGCAGGGGGCTCCTCCTCCCTGGTTCTCAGTGGATGAAAGGCCAACGCTAGGCCACGCCCTCTCCCTGGCTCAGGCTGCGCTCCCCGCCTTCTTTGCTAAGCCACGCCCCTCTCGGAGTTCCTCCAGGATCCCGGCGTCCCAGCCCCGCCCGGTCTTGGCGCGGCCCTCGCCAGGGGGCGCCGCGCAGCCCGCCCGCCGCCCGCCAGTCTAGCACACACCCCCTCCGCCCCGCGCGCCGGCGATTCCGAGCCTACGACGCCTCCGCTAGAGCCCGCGGGGCTGCGCCGACTCCTGCTCTGGAGGGGTTGCGGGTACCTGATGGCCACAGAGGGCTCTAGGAGGCCGAGCGTGTAAGCGGGGTGGGCGCCATGGAGGCAGAGCAGCGGCCGGCGGCGGGGGCCAGCGAAGGGGCGACCCCTGGACTGGAGGCGGTGCCTCCCGTTGCTCCCCCGCCTGCGACCGCGGCCTCAGGTCCGATCCCCAAATCTGGGCCTGAGCCTAAGAGGAGGCACCTTGGGACGCTGCTCCAGCCTACGGTCAACAAGTTCTCCCTTCGGGTGTTCGGCAGCCACAAAGCAGTGGAAATCGAGCAGGAGCGGGTGAAGTCAGCGGGGGCCTGGATCATCCACCCCTACAGCGACTTCCGGTATTGGGGGCTTGGCGGGGAGGGCAGGGTACATCAATCCCACCCTCGCGGGCAGCGACACCGGGACCCGGCCCGCCCCACCCTCCACGGTCACTTCATTTCCAGCCCGGGGTCCCTTGGTGGGGCGGGAGAGTCACTTGCACCAGTCTAGCCTGGGAATTCCTGGGCGGGTATCCCCTGCCGGAGGTCCTCCGTGCCTGGACAGGCTGGGGGCACCAGAAGGGGCAAGCAGACATCAGGGGATCTCCAGAGACCTGGATTTCCTCTTTCAGGAACCCGGGACCCCATCCGGACCAAAGGAACTACCAGAGTTTGGGACCCCTGCCTCCTCCAGTCCTGCTTGCTGGAGATCTAGGAAATTATATTCTAAGTATCGGGGCCAGTCTGAGGGAGAAGCCGAGCTCCGCCATCTCCCATCCCCACACCCGCTCCTTAGCACCTGCCTAGTTCAGCATGACAGACTACCAGGAAAAATAGGGACGCTGAAGGGGGCGGGGGGTCCAGACCTCAGCTCTGGTCGCTGTCCCTAGTGCTGAAGGCGGGGGCGGCGGGGCGGGGCCGAGACTCAGAGTGACTGAGGCGGCAAAGCAGGGGCAGGACCACCACCCAGGTGACTCCCAGAGAAGGAACAGAGGGTGGGGGTGGGGCCATTTCACAGTCTCCGTCAGGGTGTACCTCTACATCAAGGTCGCTAGGGGAAGACAGCAGCCCTGTCCTTGGGGGAAATGAAGGACAGCTCTTGGATGAGGCAGGGATGTGTGCAAAGCACCTAACCTGGGGAACTAAAGAAGCAGAGAGGAAGAGGTGTGAATCTGGAGCCTCGAAATACAGTTGTAGACCCAGACATTATCTTGAATCCACATATATACACACTCCCTCTATGTCTCTCTTCCTCCCATTGTTCCTTTCACTCCTGTCTTTGCTGCCTCGTTCCCACCCAGCCAGTGCGCCTTTTCTAGTCTCCTGTGGATCTCACTCTCTTCCCTCAGTTCACTCGCAGACGGATCCCCAGAAGCCTGGTATCCCTCTGATTGTGCTTCTCCATTCTCTATACTACATCACCCGCCAGGCTTGTGACCCACCTGTGAGTCAGGCTGTGAAGATGCTTTCATGGCTAGGCGAACCCTCTTTCCCTCCCCTCTCTTAGTGTCTCACAATACAGGATTCCTCCTCAGCAGCCGAGGAGAGAAAAGAAGAATGGCCGAGGGTTTTTGTTTATTGAAAACATACAGTCTAAGGGGCTTCCCAGAGGCCCGGACTTGAGGAAGTTTCTTTCAGGGCTGAAAATTGATTTTGCAGTCCGAGTCAGAAGGGGCTAGCTCCTGAGTTGACACTGGGATTAGGTGTGTCCTAGAATTAAAACCACCATAGGTAACTGAGTCCCTGAGATTTTCCTGTGCCATTCTCTGAATGAGGGCTTCACACAGTTCCCTCTTGACCTCTTCTTTCCACGGTGTCTGCCACAGCAATGTCACTCACCCCTGCCCATGCCTCTGCCTGTGCTCAGCCAGAGTCCCAGTGGACACAGGGAGGCCAGAGGAGGAAAGGTATGCAGAACTCAAGCCTTGCTGCTTCATGATCTCCTGTGGAGCTTCTCTGTGTGTGCAGCCCTGTTTGAGGTTCTGTGGAGGGGGAAGGGCATCCCTGGAAAGCTCAATTCAGAGGAAGGCAGGATAGACCACCCCACCCTGAGACATGGATGAGCAAACCTCAGCAGAGGAACAGGATCCGTGGGTCCAACTGTGTTGGAGAAGAGGAATGGGGTGGAGAAGGCTGGGGAGGGCATGAGGTCCTAGACTAGAATGGGCAGATAACTGGAGATGGGGGAAGCAGCAGCCTTTTCAGAAATCTGGGGATAAAGAGTGAGTGAGTCATAATACCAACTAGTGCCTGTACCACACTGTCACATCTATTGTCTCCATGTAAATGTTTTCAGCAATGCTGTGAGATTAGCACAGGATACTTTAGCTTTTTTTTTTAACCTTAAAAATATTTAGCAATGGTGAGGTAAATGATATATAGTAGGGATATGTATGTAGATGGAAGAGTAATTTTATTTATTTATTTATTTATTTTTATATTTGTTTATTTATTTTGAGAAGGAGTCTCACTGTGTCGCCCAGGCTGGAGTGCAATGGCACAATTTTGGCTCACTGCAACCTCCGCCTCCCGGGTTCAAGCGATTCTTCTGCATCAGCCTCCTGAGTAGCTGAGATTACAAGCGCATGCCACCACGCCTGGCTAATTTTTGTATTTTTAGTAGACGTGGGGTTTCACCATTTTGTCCAGGCTGGTCTCGAACACTTGACCTCGTGATCCACCCACCTCAGCCTCCCAAAGTGCTGGGATTACAGGTGTGAGCCACCACACCGGCAAATTTTTATTTATTTATTTATTTTATTTATTTATTTATTTTGAGACAGAGTCTCACTCTCGCCCAGGCTAGAGGGCAGTGGAGCGGTTTCAGCTCACGGCAACCTTCACTCCCAGGTTCAAGCAATTCTCCTGCCTTGGCCTCCTGAATATCTGGGATTGGGATTACAGGTGCGCGCCACCACACCTGGCTAATTTTTTTTTTTTTTTTTTGAGACGGAGTCTCGCTCTGTCGCCCAGGCTGGAGTGCAGTGGCACAATCTCGGCTCACTGCAAGCTCCGCCTCCCGGGTTCACGCCATTCTCCTTCCTCAGCCTCCTGAGTAGCTGGGACTACGGGCGCCCGCCACCATGCCCAGCTAATTTTTTGTATTTTTTTAGTAGAGATGGGGTTTCACCGTGTTAGCCAGGATGGTCTCAATCTCCTGACCTTGTGATCTGCCCACCTTGGCCTCCCAAAGTGCTGGGATTACAGGCGTGAGCCACCACGCCCAGCTATTTTTTTTTTTTTTTTTTTTTTTTTTTTTTTTTGAGACAGAGTTTCACTCTTGTTGCCCAGGCTGGAGTGCAATGGCGCAATCTCGGCTCATGGCAACCTCCACCTCCCAGGTTCAAGCGATTCTCCTGCCTCAGCCTCCTGAGTAGCTGGGATCACAGGCATGTGCCACCACTCCCAGCTAATTTTGTATTTTTAGTAGAGATGAGGTTTCTCCATGTTGGTCAGGCTGGTCTCGAACTCCCAGCCTCAGGCGATCCGCCCACCTTGGCCTCTCAAAGTGCTGGGATTACAGATATGAGCCACCGCACCCAGCGCCTGGCTAATTTTTAATTTTTTTTTTTTTTTTTTTGAGATGGAGTCTCGCTCTGTCACCCAGGCTGGAGTACAGTGGCGTGATCTCTGTTCACTGCAGCCTCCGCCTCCCGGGTTCAAGTGATTCTCCTGCCTCAGCCTCCCGAGTAGCTGGGACTACAGGTGTGCACCACCATGCCCAGCTAATTTTTATATTTTTCGTACAGACGGGGTTTCACCATGTTGGCCAGGATGGTCTCGAGCTCTTGACCTTGTGATCTGCCCATCTTGGCCTCCCAAAGTGCTGGGATTACAGGCGTGAGCCACCACACCTGGCCTTCTTCTTTTTTTCTTTGAGGCAGAGTCTCACTGTTGTCACCCAGGTTGGAGAGCAGTGGTGCGATCTCGGCTCACTGCAACCTCTGCCTTCCGGGTTCATGCCATTCTCCTGCCTCAGCCTCCTGAGTAGCTGGGGTTACAGGCTCTCGCCACCATGCCCAGCTAATTTTTGTATTTTTTGTAGAGACGAGGTTTTGCCATGTTGGCCAGATTGGTCTCAAACTCCTGACCTCAGGTGATCCGCCAGTCTCAGCCTCCCAAAGTGCTGGGATTACAGGCATGAGTCACCAGGCCTGGCCTAATTTTTAACTTTTGTAGAGATAGGATCTTACTATGTTGCCCAGGCTGGTCTTGAACTCCTGGACTCAAGTGATCCCACTTTGGCCTCCCAAAGCGCTGGGATTACAGGCGTGAGCCATAGCTTTTCTTTTGAGACAGGGTCTCGCTCTGTCAGTCAGGCTGGAGTACACCTCAGCCTCCTGAGTAGCTGGGACTTTAGGTGTGCACCACCTGGCCTGGCTAATTTTTTTTATTTGTTGTTGAGATGAGGTCTCACTATGTTGCCCAGGCTGTTTCTTGCTTCTTTTGCTCAGCATTGCATTTGTGAAATTCATCCATAGGGCTGAATGTAGCTGTAGTTGGGTAATTTCACAGCTGTATGGTATGCCAGCCCATAAATAGTGTATTTATCTACTTATCTGTCTACATTTTTCTACACAAGGACATGTGTGTTGTTCTCAAATTTAATGCTGCTATAAACATTCCTATGTGTATCTCCTGGAGCGCATATTTTCCTTGGATGTGTCTATACGTAGGAATGGGATTGCTGAGTTGCAGGGAATGCAAATGTTTAACTTCACTAGATAATGCTGAACTATTTTCCCAAATGGTGGTCCCAACTTATACTCCCAACAGCTGTAAACAGTCATTCTGTTATTGTGTATCTTTGCCCATTCTTGGCCATGTCAGCCTATCTTCTGTCAGTCTAGTGGCTGGTGAAATATCCTCATGGTCTTACTCCTCATCTCACTCCCACCTTAGGTTTTACTGGGACCTGATCATGCTGCTGCTGATGGTGGGGAACCTCATCGTCCTGCCTGTGGGCATCACCTTCTTCAAGGAGGAGAACTCCCCGCCTTGGATCGTCTTCAACGTATTGTCTGATACTTTCTTCCTACTGGATCTGGTGCTCAACTTCCGAACGGGCATCGTGGTGGAGGAGGGTGCTGAGATCCTGCTGGCACCGCGGGCCATCCGCACGCGCTACCTGCGCACCTGGTTCCTGGTTGACCTCATCTCTTCTATCCCTGTGGATTACATCTTCCTAGTGGTGGAGCTGGAGCCACGGTTGGACGCTGAGGTCTACAAAACGGCACGGGCCCTACGCATCGTTCGCTTCACCAAGATCCTAAGCCTGCTGAGGCTGCTCCGCCTCTCCCGCCTCATCCGCTACATACACCAGTGGGAGGAGGTGGGGTGGGGAGATGGCGGGCGGGGCAGTGGGTGGGGGATGTTGGGGGAGAAGGGGGCGGGGCGGCTGGTGGACTTCTCTAGGAAGATGCTATGGGTGGGGCTCCTGGTGACCTTATAGTGTGGGGAAGATGGGTGGGGCTTCCGTGCGTGAGCTCTCTCCAAAACTGGTGGGGGAGAAGCAGGAACAGAATGAGGGTTCGGGGGATGGGGCCTGGGGTGAAGATGGTGGCACAGGAGGGTGGAGCACAGCTGCCGGACACACTTTAGAGTTAGCTGGATGCTGGGCGGAGGATGAGGTGTGGAAGAAGCTGGAGCTTCAGCTTCAGAGCAGCAGAGTTTAGTGGTTCAGACTGTGGGCTCTGCAGTCTCATTGTCTTTGGTCAGATCCCAGTTTTATTGTTTACTATAGGAGACTTGGTTTTCTGTTCTATAAAATGAGAGTGTTAAATACACTTACCTGTGATAAGACTGTTAGGATTAAAGGAATTAATACATGCAAATCACTTAGAAAGGTGTCTAGCACATACTAAGTTCTCAGTGAAGCCACTATTATATATTATTATTATTATTATTTTTATTATACTTTAAGTTTTAGGGTACATGTGCACATTGTGCAGGTTAGTTACATATGTATACATGTGCTATGCTGGTGCGCTGCACCCACTAACTCGTCACCTAGCATTAGGTATATCTCCCAATGCTATCCCTCCCCCCTCCCCCCACCCATTATATATTATTATGACTGGAAAGGAGAGGGCTGCTGGATTAATTCTTACACATATGCCCTGGAGACATTACACTGTGAAATGCCCTCTCTCTTTTCTAGGCTACACCTGGGCAGCTTGTGCAATAGATTTGTTTGATTCTCTGCTGTGACACTTACTATGTGGTTCTGGGCACATGACTGACCTCAGCTTTCCTATCTATAAGATGAGAGAAATAAGAAACTGCTTTGCATTAGCTATACATGTGTGCCACAAAACTCCACACAAATGAATAATAGTTGTATTTTTTAATTCATGGGGGCTGGGGCTAGGGAGTAGTTCAGAAGAGAATTTGCCAGGCTGGGAATGGAGGAGGACAAGCAGGGAGGGGTTCCTGTCCACAGCAGCTCCTCCTCGGACTCCTCAGATCTTTCACATGACCTATGACCTGGCCAGTGCTGTGGTTCGCATCTTCAACCTCATTGGGATGATGCTGCTGCTATGTCACTGGGATGGCTGTCTGCAGTTCCTGGTGCCCATGCTGCAGGACTTCCCTCCCGACTGCTGGGTCTCCATCAACCACATGGTGGTGAGAAGTCCCCACAGCTCTGCCTTTCCTGGGCCTTCTTAGGGCTCTTCTGCCTGAGTAGCAGGGATGGCCACAGGGAGCAGGAGGTGGGAGATGATCACAACAGAAAATAGGAGCGAGGAGGTGGGGAGGAGGGAGGAAAGGGGAAGGAGACCCAGAAGAAGTGCTCGTGTGTTGGAGGGAGCAGGCAAAGGAAGGGTACCTACCCGGAAGCTGAGGCCCCCAAGTTGCAATAGAGGACCCTTTTGCCTCAGGGCCCCCCAGAACCAAACTTAAGTGCCTGCCAGGAGGAAGGCCTGCAGTAGAAGGGGCAGACAGAAAGACCAAAGAAGGAAAAGGGGCAGGCAGAGAATGAGGCTCCGAGGGGCCCATGCCCAGCTCTGCAATATACTCTGCCCCTCAGAACCACTCGTGGGGCCGCCAGTATTCCCATGCCCTGTTCAAGGCCATGAGCCACATGCTGTGCATTGGCTATGGGCAGCAGGCACCTGTAGGCATGCCCGACGTCTGGCTCACCATGCTCAGCATGATCGTAGGTGCCACATGCTACGCCATGTTCATCGGCCATGCCACGGCACTCATCCAGTCCCTGGACTCTTCCCGGCGTCAGTACCAGGAGAAGGTCAGCAGGGACAGGAGAGGGAGGTGTGGCATGGAGGGGTGTTGGAGACTGGGTAGCCTGACTTGAGGCCCATTCTGATGTGTGCCCCTGTTGCGTCTCTGTTTCCTTTCCTGCCCTGTGTCCATTTGTTCCCTGCCCCTGCATGTACCTTTTCCTTGTTTGAACCTATGCCTGTGCTTGGCCCCTCTGCTGTCCACGCCTGGGTTTTCCTATGACTGTGCTCTGTGTCTTCCCGGTATCCATCATTATCCGTATTCCTCTGTGGCCCTGTGTATCCATGTCTGGTTCCACGTTTCACCCCTTTGAGTTTGACCTGTGTCTCTGACCTTCCGCACACACACCCCACTGTGCCGGCCCCAAATCTCTCCCTCTGTCCTCTTGCCCCTGGCAATGGGCTGGCCCTCCAGTACAAGCAGGTGGAGCAGTACATGTCCTTCCACAAGCTGCCAGCAGACACGCGGCAGCGCATCCACGAGTACTATGAGCACCGCTACCAGGGCAAGATGTTCGATGAGGAAAGCATCCTGGGCGAGCTGAGCGAGCCGCTTCGCGAGGTGGGGCTGGGTTGGGCCTGGAAGGGGGGCTCTTCAGGGACCTGGAGTGCTGTCTGGTGGTAGGGGCTATTGGTCAGCAGGTGCTCCTATAGGGAATGAGGCCTGCAGAGGGCCCCGTGGGAGGCCAGGTATTTGGGCTTTCAGGGGCTAGGGTCTTTCTTGAAGGCCCTTTGAGGGTGAAGGATACATGAGGAGGGACTATAGGGATCTCTGTTTTTGGGGGATGGTCCTGCAAGGGCTCATGGGAAAGATCTGAAGGCAGGAGCTTAGGGATGGTCCCAGGCCCACTGATGCCTCCCCATCCTTTGGCAGAACATGACCCCAGGGGTGGGGTTTCTGGAAGCGGATGAGCTCGGTGGGATCATCTCAGGTCAGGGGCACAGCCTGCCTGACAGGCCCCTCCCCTGTCCAGGAGATCATTAACTTCACCTGTCGGGGCCTGGTGGCCCACATGCCGCTGTTTGCCCATGCCGACCCCAGCTTCGTCACTGCAGTTCTCACCAAGCTGCGCTTTGAGGTCTTCCAGCCGGGGGATCTCGTGGTGCGTGAGGGCTCCGTGGGGAGGAAGATGTACTTCATCCAGCATGGGCTGCTCAGTGTGCTGGCCCGCGGCGCCCGGGACACACGCCTCACCGATGGATCCTACTTTGGGGGTCAGCAGGCCTCAGGGAGGGTGGCAGGGTCACGAGCAGACAGTGGAGAGGGCAACTGCTCCCAGGCTCTGGGTCCCTGCCTCAGTACGCTGCAGAATCACAGAGCTCCAGCCCCTCCCCAGGCCTACTCAGTGAGAATCTCTGGGCTGGGGTCTGGAGCTCTATAGTTTTTGTTTGTTTGTTTGTTTGTTTGTTTTTTGAGGTGGAGTCTCGCTCTGTTGCCCAGGCTGGAGTGCAGTGGCGCAATCTCGGCTCACTGAAAGCTCTGCCTCCTGGGTTCACGCCATTCTCCTGCCTCACACTCCCGAGTAGCTGGGACCACAGGCACCCGCCACCACGCCTGGCTAATTTTTTGTATTTTTAGTAGAGACGGGGTTTCACTGTGTTAGCCAGGATGGTCTCGATCTCCTGACCTCGTGATCCGCCCGCCTCAGCCTCCCAAAGTGCTGGGATTACAGGCGTGAATCACCGTGCCAGGCCTGAGCTCTGTAGTTTTTAAAGCTTCTCAGGAGATTCTAATGCACAGCCAGGTTGCAAACTACTGGGCCAGAGGGCCTTTTAGAACCCTTAGACAGTGAAATCCAAGGATCCTATGAGATGAGGGAAAGGCAGGAGTGAAGCAGAGCTGTCCTGGAGCATAAGCTTTTTGGAGCTGCCTGGTGGCGTGTTTCAGGGACCCAGCCTGTGGCAGTAGGGGCAGTTCAGCCTTCCACTGCCCAAAGTGACCTGAGGCTTATATAATCTCTCAGTCCCCAAACCACCCACTACTCCCATCATGTTGCACTTTGCTCTTTGATACTGCTTTTCTCCTTCAGGGCTGCCCTCAGTGTTTATTCAAGGGGGTGGGAGGGGTGGGTACACTGAGTTGCCCAGGTCTACCTCTTGGGATTGAGCAGTCGGGGAGGGGTGGGAGTTAAAGTGGAGTGGAATCACTGGGAATTTAGGGCCAGCAAGACCTGCCTGGTCATCAGCCTTCATATGGAGAGAGTAGGAAGGACAGGGAGCAGTAACCCAGTAATTGTGGGGGTCTGGAGAAAGACAATGCTTGGGGTGTTTAGGGTTCCTGGGGCACGGAGGTAATAGGTAATCAATGGTTTCTCCCAAGTCTAGGGAGGAGCCTTAGAAAGTTGGGTCCACTGCTGCAGGCTCAGCAAGAGGAGTTCTGGGGACAAGGACGGGGTTCTGAAGCTTCCTCCCAATTTCTGCAGAGATCTGCCTGCTAACTAGGGGCCGGCGCACAGCCAGTGTTCGGGCTGACACCTACTGCCGCCTTTACTCACTCAGCGTGGACCATTTCAATGCTGTGCTTGAGGAGTTCCCCATGATGCGCCGGGCCTTTGAGACTGTGGCCATGGATCGGCTGCTCCGCATCGGTGAGACCTGTCCACCCCATCTGCTCTGGGTCCAGACTGTGCTCTCACCCCACCTCCAAAGCAAGGAGCCCAGGCTTTAGGGCTCCAGGGTCATATCCCAATCCATTCAGTCCCAACAAATGCTCCCTAACAGGACTTTCAACACTGTGGCCCACTGTCCCTATCCCTCAGCATGTCCTTCCCAGGAGAGATAGCATCCCAAGCCCCCATGTCCTGAGTCCTCCTTCCCCTGAGTACCAGTCCCCTGACCCTCGCTGTCTCTGATACATACCCTCTTCCTCCAACCCCCATCTCAACCCCCATAGCCCCATTGCCATACTACTGACTCCCATCCCCTACCCTCAACCCCACCCCATCCTGATACTCTCATACTCTTTGATATCCAACATCCATCTTGGATTCCTTCCCTATCCTTAACTTCTCCCTCCCGGTACAACTTCTAGGCAAGAAGAATTCCATACTGCAGCGGAAGCGCTCCGAGCCAAGTCCAGGCAGCAGTGGTGGCATCATGGAGCAGCACTTGGTGCAACATGACAGAGACATGGCTCGGGGTGTTCGGGGTCGGGCCCCGAGCACAGGAGCTCAGCTTAGTGGAAAGCCAGTACTGTGGGAGCCACTGGTACATGCGCCCCTTCAGGCAGCTGCTGTGACCTCCAATGTGGCCATTGCCCTGACTCATCAGCGGGGCCCTCTGCCCCTCTCCCCTGACTCTCCAGCCACCCTCCTTGCTCGCTCTGCTTGGCGCTCAGCAGGCTCTCCAGCTTCCCCGCTGGTGCCCGTCCGAGCTGGCCCATGGGCATCCACCTCCCGCCTGCCCGCCCCACCTGCCCGAACCCTGCACGCCAGCCTATCCCGGGCAGGGCGCTCCCAGGTCTCCCTGCTGGGTCCCCCTCCAGGAGGAGGTGGACGGCGGCTAGGACCTCGGGGCCGCCCACTCTCAGCCTCCCAACCCTCTCTGCCTCAGCGGGCAACAGGCGATGGCTCTCCTGGGCGTAAGGGATCAGGAAGTGAGCGGCTGCCTCCCTCAGGGCTCCTGGCCAAACCTCCAAGGACAGCCCAGCCCCCCAGGCCACCAGTGCCTGAGCCAGCCACACCCCGGGGTCTCCAGCTTTCTGCCAACATGTAAAACCTTTGAGTACATCCAGCCTTAGTTCTTGGGGTGCAGTAGTATGTACCCAAGGGCAGATGCCTCTTGGGGAAGGCCATGGGGACCTGAAACATTGCCCCATGGAAATGTCGACCCTGTGCGGACATTCCGCATACTGCCATGAAGACGGTCTCTGTGTCCTCAGCTCAAGAATCCTGTAGCTTGTCCCATCATAATCCATTCACCCGTTCATCATGTGTACTGAGCAGCTACCATGTTCAAGGTAATATGCCAGGCGCTGTATGTCTCCACTGCCAAGTAGAAGTGACTCAAAACCCTCTGACAAGGATATTCCCTTGGCTATGGTCCTGCCAGGTGCAGGCCCAGGCCCATGACCCCACCTTTACTAAGCACAAGTACTTGCCACTGCCATCACTGCCAAGTAACTAGATGTCTCTGTTTCCCTGCCAATGATCCTGCAGGTTCTGCCCGGTCTGGTTATCTTCCTGTTCCTGTAGCATAGCCAGGCACTGCCAGTCACCTGTGCCCCCATTGCTGTCAGCAGATGTCTTGGGTCCTGAGTGTGGGTATCCACTTTTACCCGCTCACTGCCACCTGTGGACACTCTGTGTCTACCCTCTGAGTGGGAACATACTTCTAAGTTCCCTGCAGTCTCTGTCCTGTGGTAGACCATCTTTTTGTAAACTGCGAGCTTCCTCTTCCCTGTACCCTCTGCCCCAGTCGTGACCCCCTAAAAGTTAAGGGGTAGTTGGCACCTCCTTATTAATATGCCAGCCTAGATCCCCCCCGGTGGAGGGGCAAATGGCTGAATCCTTGTGTGATATTTTTTTCTTCGCTTGTTTATTTATTCATTTATTTAATTGTATTTATTCATTTACTAACTTTATGTGTTACCAATTAATTTTGTTTACCCATTCCTTTATCCATCCCTCCCCTCCTTTTCAGGTAAGGAGACAGGAGGAGTAGGAGGAGGCAGGGCCTCTCCATGCCAGCCTCTGTGGTCCTTGCCCAAACCCATCAGCGCAATACTTGAACCTTCTCCCAGGTAGGGGCAGGAGGAGCCACATGAGAGAGGGAGAAGGACCGCGTTTACCTTTAGAGTTTTGTTTTGTTTTTTCCTTCTGAGTTTGCTGTTGGTGCAGGAATAAGGGAAAGGCCCAAGGTATCCAAGCCTGGGGAAGGGCAGGCCAGCCAGCACCTCTGCCTTCTCAGGGACAAGAGTAGTCCTTTACCACCCTCACTCTGCCTGTCCCCTCTCCTACTCTACAGCATTAAAGACTGTGGGACCAGGACCCTAAGTCTCCTTTCCTTCTGGGTGGGGAGTTCTGGGGTTCTTGGTGTGTGGGAGAAGTTTTATAATTGCTTCCAAACAGCTGGGTTTAAATATAAAATAGACACACTCATTTTTGGCTCTTGGTTTGTGTGTGGGAACAACATGAGTGGGAAGGAATTTCTGGGTGCAGAAGGAAGCAGCCGGGGATTTGACCAAGCAGGGTATCAGGCAGGCATGAGAGCAGCCAGGACAGTGGTCTACAAGCCCAGCACGGAGGTTGTGAAGACAGTGACAAAATCAGCTGCCCAGCCCTCACTTCTCCCCAGCATCCATCCCACCCAGTTTTCCCAAAAGCGTGGACTTTCATGTAACTGTTAGTCACCATGAAGGGGTAGCCTGCCCTGGCACGAGATGCCCAGATTATCATGAGGGCTACATATGAGAATGGGAGACTGTGGACAAGATTGCCCTGTCTCCCCTCTCCCCCACCCCAAGGGATGGGATGCCTGGGGTTATGGAATTAACCAGCCAAACTGGGATTAAAGACTCAAGGCATCTTAGGGCCTGCTGAGCAGATTGGATGCAGGGAATGTACAATTGGTGCTGTTGGGTGGCCAGTGCATAATTGGACACAGACTTTCAGGACCTGTGTGAAATGGAGATGGGGAAGGGGCAACCTCGAAGGGGCTAGATGACAGTTATAGTCTCAGATAGGCCTCAGGTAGGGAGGGTCAGGAATAGAGAAGAGAGGACTTAAAGGTGGGGCTTTGGAGGGGTGTGGGCTGGAGAACGTAGACTGGGGAGGAAGGGATGGGGTACAAGGGTAGGCTGGGCCAGAGGAGGGAGGGGCGTCTCAGGATATGCTTAGCACCCGCATGATGTTGGTGTAGCCGGAGCCAGGTCGCCAGCCTGTCACCACAATCACCAGGTCTCCAACACGGAGGAAGCCACGGAGCTTTCCTGGGGGAGGGAAAGAAAACAAATCATTGGACAGGTGTGGTGGCTCACACCTGTAATCCCATCACTTTGGGAAGCCAAGGCAGGAGGATCACCTGAGGTCAGGAGTTTGAGACCAGCCTGGCCAACATGGTGAAACCTTGTCTCTACTGAAAATACAAAAATTAGCTGGGTGTGGTGGCGCATGCCTGTAATCCCAGCTACTAGGGAGGCTGAGGCAGGAGAATCGCTTGAACTCAGGAGGTAGAGGTTGCAGTGAGCCGAGATCACACCACTGCACTCCAGCCTGGGGACAGAGCAAGACTCCATCTCAAAATAATAATAATAATAATAATAATAATAATAATAATAATAATAATAATAATAAAAGAAGAAAAGAAAGAAAATTAGTCATTGAGGGACCAGGCCAGCCCTGTAACGAGAACCAGCCACCACCTTTCACCACATCAAGGCCATCCTGTAGGGAATGAGGCAGTGAAGTATGTCCCACGGGTGGCATGCAGGGAATGTGACCACTGCAGTATATTAAAGGTGTAAGAGATGCCAGCACGGTGGCTGACGCCTGTAATCCCAGCACTCTGGGAGTCCGAGGCGGGCGGATCACGTGGTCAAGACATTGAGACCATCCTGGCCAACATGGTGAAACCCTGTCTCTACTAAAAATACAAAAATTATCCAGGCGTGGTGGCGCATGCCTGTAGTCCCAGCTACTCAGGAGGCTGAGGTGGGAGAATCACTTGAACCCAGGAGGCAGAGATTGCAGTGAGCCGAGATCGTACCCCTGCACTCCAGCCTGGCGACAGAGCAAGACTCTCTCTCAAAAAAAAAAAAAGGTGCAGGAGTATCTGTGGGCTAGGGCAGAGTGTGTTGCTAAGTAGCACGGCCGTCTGCCTGTGTGGCTATGCTGATGGAAGAGGTATTTGTGATATGCCAGACTGATATCTCAGTCTTAGTGACTCTCACAGGGAAAACCTGGGACCACAGGAGAGAGGCAAGGCCCTTTGAGTGGGTATGGGAAGCTGGGTTGGGGGGCTCCTGATACAAATGGTAGGAGTGGCAGGGAAGGTCTAGGTAGCTCACCACTTTCAATGCCAAATTGCACCCGGCGATCTACATCATCTGCCCAGATGGCTTCTGGAGGTTCACGGTAAAGCAAGGGGAAGACTCCTCGGCATAAGTGGACCTGGCGGGCAGCCTGGGCAGAGCGGGTGACAGCAATGACTGCTGCCCGAGGTCGGTACCGAGACAGAAGCTGGGCTGAGCTGGAGGAGGCAGAGAAGGTCAGCCCAGAACAGCAAGAAAGTGGTGAACGAGGAAAGGAGAATCTTTGTTCCAGTTCCAGGTGTCACTAACAAGCTGTGTGACCCTGGGTAAGTCATCATACTTCTCTGGGCCTTGGTGTTCTCACCTGTAAAATGAGTGTAAGAATGCCTGCCTCCCAGGCCGGGAGCGGTGGCTCATGCCTGTAATCCCAGCACTTTGGGAGGCCGAGATGGGAGAATTGTTTGAGCCCAGGAGCTGGAGACCAGCCTAGGCAACATAGTGAGACCCCATCTCTGCATTAAGAAAAAAAAAAGAAAGAATGCCTGCCCTCCCTACCACACAAGAAAGATATGAGATAATACAGATATATCAAATGAGATAATAAGGAGAAATCTCTTTAAGAAATATAAAAGCTGGCCAGGCACAGTGGCTCATGCCTATAATCCCAGCACTTTGGGAGGCCAAGGAGGGTGGATCACCTGAGGTCAGGAGTTTGAGACCAGCCTGGCTAACATGATGAAACCCTGTCTCTACTAAAAATACAAAAAATATGCAGGGCGTTGTGGCATGCGCCTGTAATCCCAGCTACTCGGAAGGCTGAGGCAGGAGAATCACTTGAACTTGGGAGGTGAAGGTTGTGGTGAGCTGAGATTGCACCATTTTACTCCAGCCTGAGCAACAGAGCGAGCTGCCGTTCTCAAAAGAAAAACAAAACAAAACAAACAAACAAAAACCCAAGAGTATAAAACCCTTTTGAGAAAGTCCATTATGTGCTTAATTTACTATATAGATATTAAGTACTATCTAGTACTTAATATCTCCTGTTAATCCTGCCAACCCCATGAAGAACAAATCATTACCTTGTCCTGTTCATGAGGAAAGACAGCAGGCTAATAGAGCTACATTTCTGAGTAAAGACTTAAACTCAGACCTACTGGACCCTTCTGTAATACCTCAGTATTGGTAGGCTCTGTGGGCCGAATGGACTTGCCTCTGAGCCCCAGAAGCCCAAATGGCCTTGAAGCCAATGTGCCCAGTGATGCCGCTGTCCCCTTCCAGCCCCCAGAAGCTCACTGGCATTCTGTCTCTCCTGGCCTCCAGCTGTCATTGCTGCCTCTCCTCTTGTCTCAGGTGGACACTCTTCACCCCTGGTGACCAGACTAAACCCAAGCCTGGGGCCCGTCCCAGCCCACCCCTGACCCAAAGCTCCATCTGGACATTCCCAATATCCCCCTCACCGGCCAGTTGTGGTCAGCACAATGATGGCAGCAGCACAGCACTTGAAGGCAGCCTCCACAGCACCAATGGCGGTGACCTCAGTGGGATCACGGCTTAGTGGCGCTGCCCGACGTAGCTCCTCAAACAGCTGCCGGTGGTACACTGCGGCCTCTGCCTCCCGGGCAATCTGCAGGTGCCAGAATGTTAGTCTGGGAAGGGGCACTGGGGTATGGAAGGGATTTGGTTCCCTGGCCCATTTGCTTTTCATTCTGAGCTCCTACCGCATGCTGCATCTTCACCGCTTCCACAGGGAAGTTGCCCTTGGCAGTCTCCCCTGACAGCATGATGCAGTCAGCCCCATCCAGCACAGCATTGGCGACATCGCTTGTCTCTGCCCTCGTTGGCCGGGGCTTGGTAATCATGCTCTCCAGCATCTGGGGGACAGCGTGGATGTCAAAGTTGTAGGACTCACACTGTGACTGGGGACCCTGCCCAAGCTACTTCTCTGACACCCACACTCTCAGAGTGTCCCAAAATCCAGGGTCACAGTCACAACCCCTGAAAATAGGAGTCAAAGTATATTTAACTTTGTCGTTTGGTCACAACCCCTGAAAATAGGGGTCAAAGTATATTTAACTTTGTCGTTTGAGGATCAAACACTTTTCATCCAAATGTGCTATAAACCTACAGTGTGGGCTGGGTGCAGTGGCTCACACCTGTAATCCCAGCACTTTGGGAGGCCGAGGCGAGTAGATCACCTGAGGTCAGGAGTTCGAGACCAGTCTGGCCAACATGGTGAAACCCCGTCTCTACTGAAAATACAAAAAGTAGCCTGGCATGGCGGCGGTCACCTGTAATCCCCACTACTTGGGAGGCTGAGGCAGGAGAATTGTTTGAACCCAAGAGGCGGAGGTTGCAGTGAGCGGAGATTGCGCCACTGCACTCCAGCCTGGATGACAGAGTGAGACTCCGTCTCAAAAAACAAAACAAAACAAAATAAACCCCTACAGTGTGGGTATTCACCCACAGGTGTCCCTAAAACCCACAGAGTGCCGAACCTCAAGGCCTCACTCCAGACCTGTGTGGCACAGACAACAGGCTTGCCCGCCAAGTTGCAGCGCCCAATCATCATCTTCTGAGCCAGGAAAACCTTCTCTGCTGGGATCTCGATGCCTAGGTCCCCCCGTGCCACCATGATGCCGTCGCTCACCTCCAGGATTTCATCAAACCTGAGAGGTTGGGAGAATCAAGGCAGAGGCAGGCAGGAGAAGAAAGGTGATGGGGAATAGCGACAGGGCCGAAGGGGAACAGAGCCCAAGCCTCACCTCTTCACGCCTTCGTGGTTCTCAATTTTGCTGATGATCTTGATGCCGTGTCCTTCCGGACCCAGAGCAGCCCTGACGGCAGCCACGTCGCTGGCTTTCCGCACAAAGGAGGCAAAGACGATGTCCACCCCATGCTCCACCCCGAAGCGCAGGTCTCGGACGTCCTGCTCGGACAGCCCGGGCAAGTCCACCTGGGCCCCTGGCAAGTTCACGCCCTTCCGGCTGCCCAGGACGCCGCCGTTCTCCACTTGGGTCACCAGTCCCTCTGGGCCTGCGGACATGGAAAGAGCCAGCTGCGGTCAGGGGTGAGGACGGGGCACAGTTGCAGCAGAGAGGACACTGGGGCTTGGACCCGCAAGAGGTCAGGAACCATGTCCTCCTCATCTCTCCGCCCTTGTTCTGGGCTTCGCCCGGAAGAGGCACAGATGGACGTCCGTGGAAGAAACGACCCACCCATAGTCCAGCCCAAACCCAGGGTGAGCGCAGAGTCTACACGCTGGGGACTCCTGGGACGGGCTGGCAAAAACGCGTGGCCAGGGGAAGGTGTGATCGGTCTGAGGGCTGATGGGGGAGCCAAGGAGAAGGGAATGTGCCCAGCGCACGGATGTGGTCAGGGCGGGAGGCGCGTCCGCACCGATTTTCTGGACCACTAGGGAGATGAGCCCGTCGTCAATGTAGATGCGGCCCCCCACCGGCACGACCCGGACAATATTGGGGTAGTCCACCCACACGGTGTTCGCGTTCCCCCGCGTCCGGAACGCGGGGTCCACAGTCACCAGCACCTGGGAGCCCTTCACCAGCTCCACTTCCGACTCTGGACCCTAAGGAGGGAGCCAGAGGAGATGTGAGTTCTGAGCCCCGGAGTCCGGGACCCGCCCCTGCCCACGCCTGGGCCCAACCCTACAGGCGCCGCCTTTCCGGCCCTGGCCCAGCGAGTCCCAGCCCCACTGCTCACCCCCTGCAGGATCCCAGTGCGGATCTCCGGTCCCTTGGTGTCCAGGGCGATGGCCACGGGCCGGTAGCTGAGTGGGGAACCTGCAAAGCTCTCCACCGCCTCCCGGACGTTGGCGATGGACTCAGCATGGTACTGGGGGAGGGAGCGGAGCGAGGGTTTCAGGGGAAGGTGGCCAGGACCTCGAGGCATCCTCCTGCCCCACCCACTGCCCGGCGGCCCGTCCCGCACCTCGTGGGAGCCGTGGGAGAAGTTGAGTCGCGCAATGTTCATCCCGGCCTTGATCATCTCCTTGAGGCGCTCCACGGAGCGAGATGCTGGCCCTAGAACCAGAGATTCACGTTCAGACAACGTTCCCCCAGAACATGAGAGGCAACCAAACCCAACCCATTACCATTCTCAGAACGCCTCACGCCACAGGCGTCCTGTTACCTGATCTTTATTCCCTGATGCAACCCCTGCCCACAGATCACAGACTCCCCTTCCCTCTCAAGCCAACATCCATCCCCTTGGGGAGGCAGCAGTGTGGAAATCGGAGGGGAGTGCCCTCCGCCAGGCCTGAGGTCACTGTATGGGCATGTATGGGCACTGTATGGGCATGGGTATGTAAGTGCTGCTTGCCCGGCTACCCCAGGGTATGGGGTGTAGGGCAGGGGCTGGGAGCCAGGTGAGGGCGTTTGGGTGCGGGCTTTTAGAGCTAGGAGGCCTCATGGACTGAGGAGAGCTGAGTTCTATCCCATGCCTGCACTGCTATGGGGCAGCTGCTAGCCGAGAGCAGGTTGGCTCATTCTTCGGTCCCTATCTGTCTTTCCACTTGTGCACTAGGTCTCCTCCTTCTCACCTGCTCAAGGACATAAATTAAGCCATTCTGTGGTCCTCTGTGACACCCATGTTTTCCTTTTCTTTTTCTTTCTTTTTTTTTGAGACGGGGGGAGTTTCACTCTTGTCGCCCAGGCTGGAGTGCAGTGGCACCATCTCAGCTCACTGCAACCTCTGCCTCCCCAGTTCAAGTGATTATCCTGCTTCAGCCTCCTGAGTAGCTGGGATTACAGGTGTGCACCACCACGCCTGGCTAATTTTTTTGTATTTTTAGTAGAGAAGGGGTTTCACCATGCTGGCCAGGTTGGTCTTGAACTCTTGACCTCAGGTGATCCATCCACCTCGCCCTCCCAAAATGCTGGGATTACAGGTGTGAGTCACCGTGCCCAGCCATGTTTTCCTTTTTTACTGGATCATCCCCATCCGCAGGTAAACCTACTGTTATTTCTTTCATCATTAAAAAAAAATTCTCTTAATCTCCTGGTTTCCCCTCAGTCCCAGTATTTGCTCTCACTTGCAGCAAAACTCATCGCAAGAGTTATCTGTACTTGCTACCTCTAGTTCCCCTCCCCCATTCTCCCTTGAACCCACCCCACTCAGGCGTTGGCCTCCATCTCTCCACTGCATCTGTTCTTGTCAAGGTCACCAAGAACCTCTGTGTTTTTGCTCCATGTAATGCTCAATGCTCAGTCCTCCTCTATTGGCCCATCAGCAGCCTGAACATACATCCTTCTTTGACACACTGTCTTCACCTGACCTCCAGGGCTGCACCCTCTCTTGGTTGACTCCTACCTCACTAGCTGCTCTTTCCCAGTCTCCTTTCCTTGTTCCTCCCCTTAACGTTAGATACCCTGTTCTCTTCTCCGTCATTTCACCTACACTCCTTTGGTGGTCTCAACTAGTCTCATGGCTTGAGATACCATCTATATGTAGCCAACTCCCAAATGTCTCTCCAATCCAGACCTTTCTCCCAAACCCAGAGTTGTGTACCTGACTGCCCCCTCTATCACATTTGGATGGCTAATAAGCATCTCAGACTCAACATGTCCCAAGCAAACTTCTGCTCTCCCCCCAACCCCTTCCACCACAGTCTTTCCTGCTCAGTGGCTAATGCATCGTTCCAGTTCCTTATGGCAAAAACCTCAGAGTCACCTGTCACCTTTGACTCCTTTCTTTCTCGCCCACACTCCATACCCCATATCCGATCAATTAGCAAATCCTGTCAGCTCTACCTGCAAAATACATTCAGAATCTGACCACTTCTCACCACCTCACTGCCGCCAACTGGTCTGAGCCAGAAATACTGCAGGGGCACCCTTCCCCCCACCCCCCATCTATTTTCAGTGCAGCAGCAGGGGAGGGGAGGCTCTATTAAAACATAAATAAGAGCTTGTCATTCCCCTGCTCAAAACCCTGCAGCAGTTTCTCATTTCACTCGGAGGAAAACGCAACTCAAATTCTAAAAATGGCCTACAAAGCTGCACCTGATCTTCCTGTCCGTACACAGTCTCTTCATGTCTGCCGCTCTTCCCCCTTGATGGTTTCTAGCTCTTCTAACCTTCTTGACTTAGGCCTTGACACTGACTGATCCTTCTTCCTGGAATTCTCTTCCCCCAGGTCTCTGCATGGCTAATTCTCTCATCTCCTTCAAGTCTTCCCTTTGGTCTCATTTACTCAATAATAACTGACCTCCCTATTTAGGGCTGCAACCTGTCTTCACCCTCGTACTCCTGATGCCCTTATCACACTTGATTTCTTTCCCCATAGCACTTAAAACTTTCACTTTTTCTTTCTTTTCTTTTCTTTTTTTTTTAGATGGAATCTCGCTCTGTCACCAGGCTGGAGGACAGAGGTGCGATCTCTGCTCCCTGCCTTCCAGTTCAAGTGATTCTCCTGCCTCAGCCTTCCGAGTAGCTGGGACTACAGGCATGTGCCACCACGCCCAGCTAATTTTTGTATTTTTATTAGAGACGGGGTTTCACCATGTTGGCCAGGATGGTATCGATCTCTTGACCTCGTGATCAGTCTGCCTCGGCCTCCCAAAGTGCTGGGATTACAGGCATGAAACACCACGCCTGGCCTTTTTTTTTTTTGAGACGGAGTTTCGCTCTTGTTGCCCAGGCTGGGGTGCAATGGCACGATCTTGGCTCACCGCAACCTCCGCCTCCCAGGTTCAAGCAATTCTCCTGCCTTAGCCTCCTGAGTAGCTGGGATTACAGGCATGCACCACCATGCCCGGATAATTTTTTGTATTTTTAGTAGAGACGGGGTTTCTCCATGTTGAGGCTGGTCTCGAACTCCTGACCTCAGGTGATCCGCCCGCCTCGGCCTCCCAAAGTGCTGGGATTACAGGCGTGAGCCACCGCGCCCAGCTTTTTTTTCTTTTTTTAAAAACAAACAAACAAACAAACAGAGTTTCGCTCTTGTTGCCCAAACTGGAGTGCAATGGCGTGATCTTGGCTCACTGCAATCTCTGTCTCCCGGGTTCAAGCGATTCCCCTGCCTCAGCCTCCCGAGTAGCTGGGATTATAGGCACATGCCACCATGCCTGGCTAATTTTTTGTATTTTTAGTAGAAACAGAGTTTCACCACATTAGCCAGGCTGGTCTCGGACCCCTGACCTCAGGTGATCCACCTGCCTCAGCCTCCCAAAGTGCTGGGATTATAGGCAAGAGCCACCATGCCCGGCCAACTTTCACTCCTTTCTTTCTTTCTTTCTTTCTTTCTTTCTTTCTTTCTTTCTTTCTTTCTTTCTTTCTTTCTTTCTTTCTTTCTTTCTTTCTCTTTCTTTCTTTCTTTCCTTCCTTCCTTCCTTCCTTCTTTCTTTTCTTTCTTTCTTTCTTGCCTGCTTGCTTTCTTTCCTTCCTTCCTTCCCTCCCTCCCTCCCTCCTTCCTTCCTTCCTTCTTTCTCTCTCTCTTTCTTTCTTTCTTTCCTTCTTTCTTTCTTTCTCTCTTTCTCTCTAGGGTCTCGTCTGTCACCTAGGCTGGAGTACAGTGGCTCGATCATGACTCACTGCAGCCGTGACCTCCTGGGCTTAAGTGATCCTCCCACCTCAGCCTCCTGAGTAGCTGGGACTACAGGCATGCACCACCACACTCAACTAAGTTTTGTATTTTTTGTAGAGATGGGTTTTGCCATTTACCCAGACTGGTCTCAAACTCCTGGGCTCAAGCGATCTGCCAACCTTGGCCTCCTAAAGTGCTGGGATTACAGGCATGAGCCACTGAGCCCAGCCCACTTTTTTTTTTTTTTTTTTTTTTTTTTTTTTGTGAGATGGAGTTTTTCTCCTGTTGCCCAGGCTGGAATGCAATGGTGTGATCTCGGCTCACCACAGTCTCCGCCTCCTGGGTTCAAGCGATTCTCCTGCCTCAGCCTCCTGAGTAGCTGGGATTGCAGGCACGCACCACCATGCCCGGCTAATTTTGTATTTTTAGTAGAGACGGGGTTTCTCCATGTTGGTCAGGCTAGTCTCGAACTCCTGACCTCAAGTGATCTGCCCACCTGGGCCTCCCAACATGCTGCGATTACAGGCATGAGCCACCATGCCCGGCCTCACTTTCTAACGGAATAAATAATTTACTTATTTTAAATAATTTATTGTGCTTACTATTTATTGTCATACTCAGCTAGACTGTCAGCTCCCCAAGGGTAGGGATTTTTGTCTGTTTTTTTCACTGATCTACTCCCAGGGCCCAAAATCTTGTCTACTATATGCTCAACAAATTTTTGTTAAATGAATGACTGTGTCAAACATGGAGAAGTCTCAAAGGAGACAAAAGATGAAGAAGCACCTCAAGAAATACCAATAGGCCCTGTGTGGCTGCAGGGGGATGGGAGTGCTTACCGATGGTGGCAATGATGCTGGTACTGCGAGCAGCCACGGGCTCGGAGTCAATGTCCAGTAGGCAGAGGTGTTCCAGGAAGGTGTCTGCCATAGCAGCTGGCAGCTGCTGCTGCTGGAAGAAGGCAGTGCCCAGCTCCTGGGTCAGTTGGGCCACACTGGCCCGCCGCAGATACCCCGCTGGCCCTGTGGTAGAAGGGGGCTCAGGGACTGCATGTCACCTGCCCTTCCTCCCCATGCCTTCGTCTCTCAGCATACCCTCTGTTCCTTCCCTTCTTATGAGCTGGGCATCATGCATATATTATTTTATTATGTCACAAGGATCCTATAAAGCAGGTACTGTTAAATGTTCTATAATTATCCAATTTTATGGATAAAGAAACAGAGGCTGAGAAACAGGAAATAAATGGTCCAATATTATACAGCTTCTAAGTATGGATCAGCTAGGATTCAAATCTAGGTCTGACTAACTCTAGCCCAAGTTCTTGACCACTCAGTTATACTGACCCCGCACAACCCAGGACCCCCCGACCTGCAGCTACTGATGACCCTCAACCCCACCACCCCTTGATGTCTAGTCCCCAGCAGCCTCACCCTATGCAGACCCAGAATCACCCAGTTCCTGCTCCAAAGGTCTCTGTTTTCTCCCTTCCAACCCCTGGCTACTGGCTGGCTTCCCCACCCCATCCTCTGAGTCTCCCCAGGCTTCTCAAAGCTGCTACAGACACAGAGGTCCCTGTAGCTTGACCCATCCCAGTTCAGAGGAGCCCCCGATTCCAGCCGCACCTTCCATGCCACTGCACACCTCTCTGGGTCTCCCTCTCTGTGGGTCTGCTCCACACTGTTGGGTTGTCAGAGGCATGAGGCCCAGCTGGGCTGGGGATCAGTTCTGCAGACTGGTTAAAGTGTCACCACTGTCTCCTGTTCCATTGGAAGCCCTGTATGCCAGGGGCCAGAGTCCAGGAACCACGGGAGTGCCCCGTGGCTTACATGCTGTGGCTCTGGCCTGCCTATAGGGCCTGGAAAAGACCCAGGCCAGGGTCCATAATTTAACACACGGGAGGCTCTGAAGAACGTACGTTCCTCTCCAAAACCCACCTAGCCAGTGGCTGATGTGGATCATTTATGCCCTCCACCCTGGCTCCTAGTTTTCACCCTCATTTTCCTCCTATGTTCCATGGCTTCTGTCTCCCCTTCTTACCTCCTGGAGCCCCAATCAGGATGGACTTTGCTAAGTCTCTTTGGGACTTAGAGACCCATGACCGAAGCTGCAGGGATGATATGTTCTCCTGGATCGACATGCTTTCAGTGTGGGCCTGGGGCTGCGGGACCATGGAATGAGAGGGAGAGGATGACAAAACTGCTGGTCTTATCTAAGGGAGACAGAGAAGAGAAAAGGGGCACACCCAGTAGGCCACCCTGTCCCCACAGAATCCCTCCCCCAGAACGGCCTGCTCTCTGCCCTCATCTCCTGGCATTTCCTCTCATCCTTTTTTCCTGATAAATTTTCAATCCATTCATACTATCTGGTCATCCACGTGAATAGATATTTTTTTTTTGGCCAGTCATATGGCCCCATTTTCTTTGTACTTTACTGAAGTTAGCTCTAGTGAATCCAGGGAGCAGGGGCTGTAGGGTGGGGCTGGAGCCTGAAGAAAGACAAAAGGGATCACTGTGATAATATGGTGGGGGGAGGGTTACCCAGTTCTGACCACTTTTTTTCTCTGTCTCAACCAAGAAATGCAGAGTGCCTTCACCACTCTGTAACCTGGCCAGCTGCATGTTTTCGCCTACATGTTTGAACCCAAGATGGTACCTTGAACATTCTCAGACACTGATAAACTTGATTAGGTTGTTGCTGGAAACACTGAAAGATCGACTATTTTGCTAAACTTATAGACTCCTACCCCCAGGGAAATTTTCTTTCCTCCCTCCCTTCCTTCCTTTTTTCTTTTTCTTTTTTCTTTTTTTTCTTTTTTTTTTCACAGAGTCTCACTCTGTCGCCCAGGCTGGAGTGCAGTGGCGCAATCTCAGTTCATTGCAACCTCTGCGATCCTCCTGCCTCAGCCTACCGAGTAGCTGGGATTACAGACGTGCACCACCACACCCAGCTAATTTTGTTTTTCTTTTTTCTTTTCTTTTCTTTTTTTTTTTTTTTTTGAGACTGAGTCTGACTCTGTTGCCCAGGTTGGAGTGCAGTGGCGTGATCTTGGCTCACTGCAACTTCTGCCTCCTGGGTTCAAGCGATTATCCTGTCTCAGCCTCCTGAGTAGCTGGGATTACAGGCATGCACCACCACGCCTGGCTAATTTTTGTATTTTTAGTAGAGACGGGGTTTCACCATGTTGGTCAGGCTGGTCTCGAACTCCTGACCTCAGGTGATCTGCCCGCCACAGCTTCCCAAAGTGCTGGGATTACAGGTGTGAGCCACTGTGCCTGGCCTAATTTTTGTATTTTTAGTAAAGATGGGGTTTCACCATGTTGTCCAGGCTGGTCTCCAACTCCTGGCCTCAAGTATCCACCAGCCTCGGCCTCTCAAACTGGTGGGATTACAGGTGTGAGCCATCATGCCCAGCCTTGTTTTCTTTCTTTTTTTTTTAAAGGGTCTCACTCTGTCACCCTGGCTGGAGTGCACTCGTGTGATCATGGCTCACTGTAGCCTTGACTTCCTGGGCTCCAACGATCCTCCCACCTCAGCCTCCCAAGTAGCCAGTACTACAGGTGTGCACCACCATGCCTGGCTACTTTTTAAATTTTTATTTATTAAAAATATTTTTTTCCTTTCTTTCCACAGGTGCTGACTTTTTATTTTTGTAGAGACTGGTGTCACTCTGTTGCCCAGGTTGGTCTTGAACACCTATGCTCAAGTGGTCCTCCTGCCTTGGTCTCCCAAAATGCCAGGATTACAAGTGTGAGCCATAGTACTGGCTTCAAATTTCTTAAACACTCCTATAAACACCATACCCCGAACCCCTCCTTGAGAACATACCTGGGTAGAACACCCTTTGTCCCATTGTCCACAGCAAGGATGTGCAGTAGCTGTTCTGTAGGTAAGTTCCCCTAATGTATGCTTTGGCCTGATTGCCCTGGCATTTAGTGCTTCATTCACTGGAATCCCAACCAGCCCCATCTTGGGATGGTTTGGGGCATCCTTTGTGAGTGCTGCCCTGATGCCACTTTTGGTGTGACACTAGCTGTGGGTTCAGCTGATACTAACTGGTGGGATTCTCTGGAAGGGCTTTGATAGCATCATCATCATCATAGCATTCATTAGTTACCATTTGCCCATTCCCCACTGTCCAATCTTTATCGAGCACCTACGCTGTATCAGGCCCTAAGGACACAGTAGTGAGCAAAACAGACAGGGCCTTTGCCCTCTGTGAGATTTACAGTATAGTGGGGAGACAGACTATCAACAAGTATCAGAGAAATAAATATGTAACTACAAACCTTGCAAGTGCTACTAAGTAGTGGATCAGGGTGCTGGAACACAGAAGCCAGTGGGAGAAGAGAGAGGGTGTATTTTATTTTATTTATTTATTTTTTTGGAAGCGGAGTTTCACTCTTGTCACCTAGGCTGGAGTGCAGTGGCACGATCTCAGCTCACTGCCACCTCTGCCTCCTGGGTTCAAGCAATTCTCATGCCTCAGCTTCCTGAGTAGCTGGGATTACAGGTGCACGCCACCATGCCTGACCTAGAGGATATATTTTAGACAAGATGAGATGGTTGAGGAAGGCCTCTTTGAAGTGATTATTTTGAAGCTGAAATTTGAAGGATGAGAAGGAACCGGTGGGGGCAAATGGAGAAAGGGGTTTTCCATGGCGGCGGGGCGGGGGCAGAAATAATATATGCCAAGGCTCTGAGGAAGAAAAAGCTTGGTGCCAAGGAGACAAAGAGCTGCAATGAGGCTGAGTGCCTGGAGTGCAGGGTCGTGGCCCATAGTGAAGATAGGGGACCTGAGCAGGATCTTGTAATGTGGTGGGTTTACCCAGGGGATGGACATGATCCAACTGATGGTTTAGGTCCCTCCCGCTGCTGGGTAAAGAATAGATGGTAGCCGGGAGCGGTGGCTCACGTCTGTAATCCCAGCACTTTGGGAGGCCAAGGCAGGCGGATCACCTGAGGTCAGGAGTTTGAGACCAGCCTGGCTAACACGGTAAAACCTCGTCTCTACTAAAAACACAAAAAATTAGCCAGGTGTGGTGGTGCGTGCCTGTAATCCCAGCTACTTGGGAGGCTGAGGCAGGAGAATCACTTGAATCCGGGAGGCAGAGGTTGCAGTGAGCCGAGATCATGCCATTGCACACCAGCCTGGGCAACAAGAGCAAAACTGCGTCTCAAAAAAAAAAAAAAAAAAAAAAAAAGAACAGATGGTAGGTACAGGCAGAACTACTGCGGGCTTAGGAAGAATCTAGGTGGTAGGTGATGGACTAGCATGTTGGCAGTGAAGACGAAGAGAGGGGGACGGCTTGGAGATGCATTTTGGAGAAGAGCCAGCAGAGTGGAACGGCAAAACAGCCGTGGAGAGGGCGGCTTCTAGTGTCGAGGAGTCTGGCTTGAGCAGTTGGGTAGATGGTAGCGCCACTAACTGAGACTACGGAAGAAATAGGTTTGAAGTAGGGGGAAATTCAAGCTTTCTGTTTTGACAGGCTAAATTTGAGAAGCCAGTTAATCATTAAAATCCATAGTCAGACAGTTGGAGCTGTTCATCGAGCACACTTCCTGTGTGCTGGAACAGCATTCATGCCTCATGGACACCATCTCCTTTTATCATTGTGACAACCTAGAAAGAAGGTAGGATCAACAGGCTGTTTTACAGATGAGGGAACTGGGCCGTAGCAAGGTGTGTTCCTTTTCCACTCTGCTGTGGGGCCAGGAGGCTGACGGCTTTGCACAGTGGCGTCTGTAGGGTTTGGAGAGTGGCACCCATAGGAGATGAGATGGAGAGGGTGAGGTTGAGCATTTACCTCCCCAGTTGCCATTCTAGGGACCATTCTCTCCCTATCCCTTGGACCTTACAGGGGTAACAAAGCCCACTGTTATTAGATCTGGGGTAATGCACTATCCGTTGTGGTTTACCAACACCCTGCCCATTCCTTTGTATAATCCTGTTATGAAACACCTTCAAATTATCCCATTTAAGAGAATTC
>NT_187521.1:0-50258 GCF_000001405.40 Homo sapiens
CAGAGTGAGTGAGTGAGTGAGTGAGAGTGTAAACAGGTGACTCCAGCCCAGTGTGTTCAGTGATGGAGGGAGAAGGGCAAGGAAAACAAATGGTGAGTGAGAGGGCCCAGCTTGCCATGCCTGAGGGAACTGCAGACTGGGGCTGCTATGCCTGTCCATTTGATATGAAACACTTCCCTCTTGATAGACTTCCAAGAGCAAATGCTTTCTGTAGAGAAGAACATGCACCCAACAGATGGATGTTTCAGTGCCCATCAAACAGCCTTATTTTTAAACTCATAGACTAAGTTTGGCAAAGCTCTTTCTCTCTCTCCAGAGCTACCCTGTGAACCTGACTTTGATTCTCTTCCAGATCTGCCATGCCCTCCTCCTACGGGGTTTCCCCTTTTGCTGCACCTCTCTCTGAGAAACATTTCACTTCTCTTTGCTCAGTGCCGAGGAGTGAAAGAACTTATTCAGTAACTGTCAGATTTCTTATCCCAATTTCAGGAATAAAAGGAATATTTCTTCTCAAAATAAAATAGAAGAAAAAAATATCTCCTTCCTAATGCAAAAAAAAAGCAAATTAGAATGTAGCAGAGACTGTAGAAGAAAAAGAAGAAATATGGATTGTAGAAATAGCTCTGTCTCTCTCCCTCTCTCTCTTTCTCTCTCTCTCCTCTACCTCTCTCTCCTTCTCTTTTTCTCTTTCTCTGCTTTCGCTCTTCCCCCTACCCTGCCTCCCTTGCTTTTCTCTTTCTCCTTTTCTATTTCTATCTATTTCTTTATCTTTTTCTGTCTCCTTTTCTCTTTCTCTTTCCCATCTCCCTCCCTTACTCCCTCCCATTCTCTCTCCCTCTTTCTCTTTCCCTCTCTTTCTCTCTCCCTATCTCTCTCCGTCTTTCTCTCTCCCCCCTCCCTCCTTCTTTCCCCTCTCTCCTCAACTTCTTTCCCCTCTCTCTCCCCGCTCCCTCCCTCTTTCTTTTTCCTCTCCCTCTCTTCCTCTCTCCTCTCCTGTTTTCTCCTTCCACATACCCCAGGCTTGTGAGTAGCAGCTGAGCAAGTACCATCCACCACCTTGCAGTCACTCCAGGCACAGTCATTGGAAGGGCGGCCACGTGGCTTGCACAGACAGTGATACTTAAAATACAGACATCAAAGCTGTTGGTTTGTTGTTTTTACCTTCTTGTCTAACAGTATGCAGGGTCACCTACCTCCTGCTGGCCCATCACAGCTAGCAGGAATGAAGAACAAGTCCTCCCATGTGAATGAGACATCAGAGCAATTTACCATGGCACTCTGTAAACATTGCTGGGACTTTTCTCAAGGAGAGTTGTGTTTAGCCATTACTGAGACTGAGAAAGATATTTTTCTGACATTTTGCAAAATGATACTGTGATTTGGGTGGGGGGGGGGGTTGGCACAGAGACATTATTTCCTGTGTTTTGGAAAAATAAGATATTGTCTGTAAACAGACAAGTGTTTGAGCTGTTGACCAAACTCTACCATAAATGACTGTAGTACCAACATGCTATAGTTGGGACTGCTTTGGTGAAAGGGCTGCTCAGTTGATTTCATGGTCAGCTTACCTCTAGCTTCAATTTGTGTGTGTGTGTGTGTGTGTGTGTGTGTGTGTGTGTGTGTGTGTGTAAAATAAAACTTTATTTGCAAAAACAGGCTACTTGCCTGAGTAGCATTAGTATATAGTATATATAGCGTATATATAGCATTGAATATAGTTACGGCTTGTTTAAATCTCAGAGTTGACTTTGTAGCATAGATTAAAGGAAAGCACTTAAATTTGCTTATGAGTAGATATTATTCCATGTCAGCAAAGGAGTTTATTTAACATGTCTGTTTCATTCTGTCATCATCTGGTTTTATCCTCTCTCTTATAATTCAGTCGCTATTATGAAGGGCTCTGTGTGTCCTGCTCATTTGCTAGAGAGAGAAGAAAGGCAAAAATCAAATTTTTTGTAGAGAGAGAAGGTCTCCCCTTTCAGTTGAATACAGTTGAATTCAAAAGAATTCAACATGAACAAGTTATACATTAGAAAATATATTCATAAAATAGTGGATCTCAAAACGTTTGGTCTTAGAACCTCTTTACATTATTTTTTCTCCCTTTTTGTGGAGAATGGGATCTTGCTATGTTGCCCCAGCTGATCTCAAATTCCTGGGCTCAAGCCATCCTCCCACCTCTGCCTCCCTATGTACTGGGATTACAGGCATGAGCCACCACACCTGGCTCATTCTTTTTTCTTTTTAATTTTGATTTTTTTATTTCAATAGCTTTAGGGGTACAAGTGCTTTTAGGTTACATGGATGAAATTTGTGGTGGTGAAGTCTGGGATTTTAGTGTACCCCTCACCCAAGTCGTGTACATTGTACCCTGTGGGTAGTTTTTCATCCCTCATCCTCCCTTCCTTCTGAGTCTCCAGTGTCCATTACACCACTCTAGCTGCCTTTGCGCACTCATAGCTTAGCTTCCACTTGTAAGTGAGAACATGCGGTATTTGGTTTTCCATTCCTGAGCTACTTTACTTAGAATAATGGCCTCCAGTTCCGTCCAAGTTGATGCAAAAAATATTATCTTGTTCTTTTTTATGGCTGAGTAGTATTCCATGGTGTATATATAACCGCATTTTCTTTATCCACTCATCAGTTGATGGGCACTTAAGTTGATTCCATGTCTTTGCAACTGTGAACTGAATTTTTTAATAGACTTTAGAGTAGTTTTAGGTTCAGAGCAAATTGAGCAGAAAGTACAGAGAGTTCCCATATACCTCCTGTCCCCACACAGACACAGCCTCCCACACTGTCAACATCCCCCACCAGAGCGGTCCATTTGTTACAACCAATGACCCTGCACTGACACATCATTATCACCCAGAGTCCATAGTTTATATTAAGGCTCACTCTTACTTGGTGTTGTACGTTCTGTGAGTTTGGACAAATGTATAATGGCATTTATCCACCTTATAGTACCATACAAAAGCTTAATTTTAATAATAGAGAAAATAGATCATTTCATCTCCACTATCACCTCTCACCCTTGCAGGAAGGGCAGCAGCTGTCCTGTCTGGGCTGTGTGTGCCTGTCTGGAAGCCAAGCTGGGGCTTAGACTCTAGGGGTATGTTTGGCAGAGACAGGCTGAGGGTGTCCCAGGATTCTGAAGAGAGGACCAGGTGGCCCAAGGGCTGCATCCCCTAAACTTCTGTGTCCCTTGAAGTTCAACAGGATAGGAGGGAGCAGGAAGGCCCTCTAACCTAGGTCAGACAGAATGCTGTGCGGATTGCACTAAAATTAAGGACTCTCGAACCATTCTGGATGCAGTAAGGCCCCTTGGCTTACACCAAGGCATTCTTTAGAAAGTTGAAAGATCTTGTGGTTCCTTTCTCAGTTCACCGTTCTTCAGTAGCAGTTTCATGGGGTTAACTAACAGACCCAGACCACTAGAGAAAGCATAAACTCATGAGGCTTCCATTGTCATTCCACGCCCTAAGGGAATGGATTTGAAATGATTTTTTGCCTCAAGATAGTGGTGTCAGCCACTTGTAGGGTGTGCAAGTAGCCATTTGTCATTGCTCTGGGTCACTTAGGTTTTGCCCAGAAATGGAGAACTGCTCCCCTCTCTGGGGGCCAGATCTATTTCAGGAGCCAGGTTAGAAATTACTATCTACCATTGCCTTCTTTTCATTCTCCTGTCTTTCCGGCTCAGACCCCTTGTGCAAGTCCCTCACACCCTCTCAGCTGTTCATTCCAGAATTGGGATGAAAATAAGAGCTCACATTTTTAGAGCCACCTTTCTATGTCACCATGTCTCATTACGTCTTCACCACACTTCTATTGGCATTGCTGTTTTTCAAGTGGGGAAACTGAGGCTCAGAGAAGCCAAGGAAATGCCTAAGGCCCCACAGCTCACATGGGCTGCAGCCCTGCTGGGAGAGCAGGCCACCTCCCAGAGTGCCCAGTGGGGATGTGCATGACTCACCACAAAGGAGCACTGGATCCCCCCAAATCCATGGCTCCTCAGGCTATCCCATGACAAGTCAATCAAAATGGAGCTACTGTATTTTGATTTAACCTGGCTGGCAGCTCCAGATTTCTCATCTCAAGAATAATATTTGTAGGAGAGTCTTACCACAACAGAGCATCTTTAACTTTTCAGAGTGCTTTCATATCTACTGTAAAATAATAACCACTTTTTGAAGCAGATAGAGCAGCCGTCACAAACGCCACTTCATAGCAAGCAGAGAGAGAAGGATTCATACTGAATAGGTCACATGTGCCGAGAAATCATATCATTTCATCCCCACCACCTCATGGTAGGGTAAATATCATTGATCCCATTCTACAGATAAGAAAGCTGAGGTGAGGTGCGCTGAGGCTAAATGGTTCCAGGTTCCCTAAGGGACCTGTCTTGCCTCCCAGCCCATGTTCTATCCCCTAGACCTGAGGTTGGCGCACTTTCTGGAATAAGCGAGATTGTGAATCTTTTTCTTTGTGGGCCTATAGCCCCTGTTAGAACTACTTAGCTTTGCCGTGCCATTGTAGCCCAAGAGTAGTCAGTGACAATTCCTGCACACTTGTGTGTCTGTATGCAGATGAACTCGTATGTACAAAAACAAATGATAGGCCAGGTCAGGCCTGAGGTCCCTGCCCTGGACCTCACAGTTCTCTGAAGTCAAGAACCTCTAAAGTGGCAAGCTGTGCTTCACTTGAGCCATGGTGCAGACTCAATGCCAGGGTCCTGTCTGCACCCTAGGGCTGGAATATGACTTTCAGATGCTGTCTGAAGGCTCCTTAGAGATTTCCTGCCACATGCGTGGCACTGAGCTTCTCAGAGAAACTGTGATGGCCGGGGTACTCCCCCAGGGGTCCGTGCAACTGGATGGCCTTCAGATCCCTGCTGACGTGGCATGTCACTCCATACAGCCCAGTCATTTGCAGGCACTTCTCCATTAACCTCTAGAGCCCTTCATTCTCCCTTTCTGTAATTAATAAAGTGGAGGTGCAGGACTGTGCTCAGACCATCCTGTAAGTGTCATTGCTATTCTGGCCATCATGCAGCAGAGTGCCTCTCCGGGCCGCCGTTCCAAGTTGGACAGGACAAGACAGCTTGCCAGAAGGTCACCATTGTTTACAGCAGTGGCTGTTAATGCCTCTTGGCATATGGAGCACAGTATCTATGATTCTGCTGCTGAGTGCCTGCCAGGAAATGCAGAGGTGAGGGTTCAAGACTGCATTTGCTATGCCCAGCAGAACAGTGAGGCTGGGCAGTGGCAGGGAGGCCTCTGGGATAGAAAAGTGGCTTTGCGGTCTCAGAAACCTAACCGTGAAGAGGGAAGCCACTGTGGGGACTCCCTCTAGGCAGGAGCAGACACACAGCGAAACGACCCCAGCCCTGCCTATTGGGAGCTGGGGGAGTCACACTCCATCCTCTCTTGGAGAGAGATCTATAGAAGAGGAGATTTATTATGGGAATTGGCTTACATGGTTATGGAGGCCGAGAAAGCCAAGGATCTGTTGTTTGGAAGCTAGAGTGCTAGGAAAGCTGGTGGTGAAATTCAGACCAAGTATAAAGGCCTGAGAACCAAGGGAACTGATGGTGTGACTCCCAGTCAGAGTCCAAAGAGCCGAGAATCAGGACCCCCAGTGGCTAATGCCAGAAGAAGATGGATGTCTCCACTCAAGAAGAGAGCAAATTTGTCCTTCCTCTGCCCTTTTCTTCTATTCCAGCCTTCGGTGGATTGGAGGATGCCCACCCGCATTGGCAAGGGCAGATCTTCTTTACTCAGCCTACTGTTTGAAATGCTCATCTTTTCCAGAAACACCCTCACAGACGCACCAGGAGTGTCTCACCAGCTGCCTGGGCATCCCTTAGCCCAGTCAAGCTGACACATAAGATTAATGATTTCAGTGTAGGAGTCATCATGAGGAGGTCCGGGTCCTCACCTCAGCCCAGCAGATGGTTAGCAACATGACAAGGACAAAGCGTTCCCGGCTGTGGGCTCCCAGGCTCTAACATTCTGGGATTGTGTCACAACGGGCAGCCAGAGGGGCACTGGCCTCTGCCTGAAAACTTTGCTGGATTTCTGGGAGTTTCTGGCTGTGATGCTCTGGACAGGGACATACTGCCTGTCAGGGACATCTTGTTGACCATGGGGCCCACAGCTCCACTACGGGAGGAGGTCAAGTACCTGCTCCACAGGAAGTCCAGGCTTAGAGGCTGCTTTCCTCACCATGGCCCAGTAAGATGAATGTACAGCCCCCAGCTGTCCTGCTAGGAAGGAGATGCACATTCTTCCCAGGGGAACATCTGTTTTGTTTTGTTTTGTTTTGTTTTTGAGTTGGAGTCTCACTCTGTCTCCCAGGCTGGAGTGCAGTAGTGCGATCTCAGCTCACTGCAAGCTCCGCCTCCCGGGTTCACGCCATTCTCCTGCCTCAGCCTCCGGAGTAGCTGGGACTACAGGCACCCACCACCATGCCAGGCAACTTTTTTGTATTTTTAGTGGAGACGGGGTTTCACCGTGTTAGCCAGGATGGTCTCGATCTCCTGACCTCATGATCCGCCTGCCTCGGCCTCCCAAAATGCTGGGATTACAGGCGTGAGCCACTGCACCTGGCCTCCAGGGGAACATCTTAATCCTTCATGCCTCTTCTCCAGCCCCACTCTCTCAGCCTCCTACCCTAAGACAGGCTGAAAGAACAGAACCCTAAGTATAGCCAGTCATGAAGTCCCTTGTGCTGGCACTGTGCTGGGGGCTATTCCATGAGTTACTGTCCCATTTAATCCTCATTGGAGCTTCACAGATGGCCTGACCCCATTATAGAGGGGGGCACGGCAGCTCGTAGGGGTTAAACCACTTACTCGTATGGAAAGGAGCTTGAGCTTGATCTAGCTGTTGCAGAAACAAAGTTATTTCTGTCTCACTGTGCTGTCTCCCAGGTAGGAGCTAAAGCCAAGTAGCCAGTACAGAAGTGAGAATTCTACCACTGCAGCACACGTTTTGACCAGATGTCCTTAGGCGGCTTCTTGGTGGTCAGGTCACCTGCTGGCAGGCAGACCCCAGGGTGTAGAGTACCCGTTCCAACCCAAGACAACCCCGAGTAAGACCCCTCCCAGAAGCAAACGACTCATCTCCCTGAGGTATCCTACCCCTCACCACAGGCCTGAGCTTTTCCTAAGGCTCCAGGATTTAACTTTATAAGTGCAGCATTCACAACACAGACCAAAAACTGCCTGAGGCCAGAGCTGAAAACAAGATTTGGTCCTCAAACAGCAGAAGAGGTGACCAGGTTACCTAACTTAACCTAAGGGTGAGTTTGAGGAGCGTTCAAGGAAGAACATTTACAAGAAGTACTTAACGGTTGCACGAACGCAATTTCCTTTCCTCCCAAGTCACTTTGATGTGGCCTTGCCGTGGGGACAGTCGGCCCCTCAGGATCTTGGCAAGCCAAAGCAGTCTTGTTGGGTGAAGCCAAGAGCACAATTAAGAAATTTAATTTGCAGACTCACAGTTAGCTCACTTAAGAAAACTTTCCATGCATCCTCTAATCATAGAAATAGGTTCAGCGTTTGTCAGCTATGGGGCTGTGCTCTTAATCTTCTCATTCTGCTCACTTCTCCCCAACCCAGGGGTTCCCCAAAGTTTGGTCCTGAAACCACCAGCAGCACCTGAGAACTTGTTAGAAAGGCACATTCCCAGGCCCCATTCCAGAACCCCTGAATCAGAAGCTGGAGTGGGGCAAGGTAACCTGAGTTGCAGCTAGCTCTCCAGGGGATTCTGCATACTGGGACCATTGAGGAAGCCTTGAAGGGTACTAATGCTCTGTCCCCAGCCCCAGAGGCCCTGGCTTAATTAGTCTGGGATGAGGCTGGGACACAGGGATTTTTCAAAACTCCCATGGTGATTCTAACGTGTAGCTGGGGTGACAATGACTGCTTTTGAGAGCTTTGCACAGTGGGGGCGATGTGATCTGGCACATGTTGAGATAGATGTAAATTTCTTACACAGAGGGGGGTGTCTGTGCAGTGCCAATGTCTACTTTAAGATTTACCTGGATAATTATTCAATACAAATTCCTGGCTTCCAAGCCCACCAAATCAAGGAAAGAGCCTGAGAAATTGCAGCTTTTTAAATTAAACTAGTGCCCCAAGACAGATGATACTTATCATCAGAGAGTTGGGGACACTGTGGTTCTCAACAGAGGACACTAGAGGCTGGGAAGGGTAGGAGGAAAGAGAGGATAGGGAGGGATTTGTTAAAAGTTACAAAATTACAGCTAGACAGGAAGAATAATTTCTAGTGTTCTATATTACTGTAGAATAACTGTAGTTAAGAATAATATATAGTTGCAAAGAGCTAGAAGGAACATGATAAATGTTTGAGATGATAGATATGCTAATTACCTTGATCTGATCACTATACATTATATGTACCGGAACATCACTATGAACCCCATAAATGTATGTAATTTTTATATGGACTGTGGACTCAGTTATCCCCCTCACCCCCCACCGCCCTACTTCCCCAACCCCAGAAACTGATGACTGTTTCTACCCAGTGAAAAGTGAGAAGGAATGTCCAGCTCATCTTCTTTTTAGCACAGATTCACATCTGACCATTGCTTGCATGGATTTCTGTGTCCTCACCTTTCCTGGCCTCTAGCACCCAGTTGGACACCTCCAGTCCAGACCCCCACCTAACCTTCTAGCTAGTCCCTAAGCTGAAATCTCAGGGTGCCTTGCAATAGGGTCAGTGCCACAGCCCCAAGAACACATCAATTATTTTTTAACTATTTATTTATTTATGACAAAGTCTTGCTCTTTCACCCAGGCTGGAGTGCAGTGGCACAATCTTGGCTCACTGCAACCTCCACCTCCCAGGTTCAAGGCTGACTCAGCCTCCCAAGTAGCTGGGACTACAGGTGCGTGCCACCACGCCCAGCTAATATTTGTATTTTTAGTAGAGATGGGGTTTCACTGTGTTGGCCAGGCTGGTCTCGAACTCATGACCTCAGGGGATCCACCCACCTTGGCCTCCCGAAGTGCTAGGATTACAGGTGTGAGGCACCTGGCCGAATTGTTTAAGTATTTATTCTTAAAATAGTTCAGTGTCACTTAATGGGATTCATTCTGAGAAACGCATCTCTAGGCGACTTCATCATTGTGCAAACATCATAGCGAGCACTCACAAACCTAGATGGTATAGCCTACTATACACCTAGGCTATATGCTATTTCCTCTGCTTCTAGGCTACAAACTGGTACAGCATGTGACTGTTCTCAATACTATAGGCAATTGTAACACAATGGCAAGTATTTGTGTCTCTAAACATATCTAAATGTAGAAAAGGTACAGTAAAAATGCAGTATTATAATCCGATGTGGCCACAGTCATATATGCGGTCTGTTGTTGACTGAAACATCACTATGCAGTGCGTGGCTGTGATTTTCATCTCACAGGATGTTGCAAAAATAGCAGAGAGGCCCCATGTGTCCCTCTTCCAGCTTCCCCCAATGGTAACATCATCCCTGACCTTAGGGCAAAATTGAACCCAGGAAATTCTCATTGACACAACACAGTTGGGTAGATAACAGACCTATTCAGATTTCACCAAACAATCATTTTTCATGCTTTTTAATGCCTGTGCCCCCTTAACTAAGGGCTCTGATAGCCAGCTGACCAAGGGGTAGAGTCATTGTCCAGCATTTCACTAGGAACAGGTGGAGGGGCTGGAGTACGAACTGCTTTCCAGCTCCCTCGTGGAAGCTCATAAATGATCATGATGAAAATACCAAATACTTATATAGGATTATTATACGCCAGATGTTGTTCTAAGTACTTCAGGTACATTAACTCATTTAGTCCTTACAAAAGCCCTGAAAGGTAGACACTCTTATTATCACCCTAGTACTACATGTGAGGAGCGAGAGGCCCAGAGAGGGTAAGTGGCTTACCCAGAATCACAGAGCTAGTTAGGAGTTCAGCCATAATTCGAGCTAGGCAGCCTGGCTGCAGGGTCTTTGTCCTTCAACCCCATGCATTTCTACTTCCTGCAATGCCACACCCTTATCTCTCAAACTGGGGAACTAATAACCTCTGGGGTCACAGGTTGGAGAACAGAGGTAGGGGGTGGAGCAAAAGCACTGGCTAAGCATGGTTCCAGATTCAGGCAGCACAGAAGATTCATTATTAAAAGCAGCCACAATGTGGATTCGAATGCAAAATCCTTGGGAAGTTTTAGGATGGAATGTGGGGTTTTAAATACCTTTTGCCTTTGCAGTGGGACATTCTGACCATAGCCCCTGCCTCCAGGAGCTAAAGCTACCCCAAGGCCATTTGGACTCCTTCAGTGGGAGAGAAGGGAAGCATTGCCTTAAATTAAGAGTCCAGCCTCTGCTGAGGACAAGAGTTTCCTCCGCTCTCTGACAAATTAATCAGGTCTGAAAGTGAGAAGGTGGGCTTGGGAGCGATTTTCTCCTCTGGAGCCTGGGGAATGTGCCCATGTGTGCCCCACAGGACCCCTGTGTACAGCAGAAAAGGGGCTACCTGGGGAATTAGAACCAGAGGCCTCTTCCAGGCCCCACTCACCCCTCACTCTGGTGCATCCTGATACAAGCACGAGCTGGACAGCTCTGCGTGGCAGTCCTGTGTTCCTGCGGCATGGTGCCACAGAGAATGTTTTGTCCCTGTGCTAATGGCCTCTGTTGAACACTGGCTTTGCCACTTCATGGCAACTCTGTGCCAAAGATGTGAGATGAATGAAGGGAGGCACCAGAGCACCTGTTCACCTCATGTGTACCCTGAGAACAAGCAGATAGTGCCCCTAACAAAACCCACTGGAGACTGAGCCCATAGCCTCCCTGTCCCTTCACTCCAGCCTTCCATCTGTTAGTTCACTACCACCTGGCCTTGCATTAGTGGATCCAAAAACTGGTTGTTTTACTCACTTTGAAAAGATAATGAAAATCATAGCTTCTATTTGTTGAGGACCTACTATGTGCCAGGCACGATTTTATGCTTATGCGTCACAGACACTGTCTTACTTAATCCCGCCCTGTCTCTGAGAGAGCTGGTTATCATCCCCATTCTGCACACAAGGAATCTGAGATTCAGAGAAGTCAGTCACCTGCCCGAGGTCACACAGCTAGCAGATGCTGAAACAGGTTCCACTCCACTGCGTGTATATGTATAAACATCTCTGTGTGTGCATAAACACACTCTTCCCAACCAGAGATCCGGCAGAAAGCACATCCCTGGAGAAAACACAGAAGAAATGTGAGCAGGAGGCTGGAAGGTCCTCTTTGTGAGTGGGCAATCTTGGAAAATGTTTGTGTGAAACATCGTCAACAAGGTGCCTATCAATTTCATTCAGGCAGCAGCCCAACAAGGGCACTGTTCTTTACCTAAGCCACAAAGAAAAAGCTTTCACCAAGGGACCAAGGGAATGTTAGGCAGGGAATGAAGGAGAGAAGGCTGAGATCTGCATCCAACAAAGAGTTCAGTCCTCCTGGGGACAGGAAGGGAGGTGGAAGGCGTCTTGTCATCTGAGATACTAGCAGACTCGTAGGCAGATTTTGCTGCTGATTCCCATCCTATATTTTTTAGAGATCTTCCGTGAATTTTAGAATTTGCTTAGGCTCAGAAAGACGCATACGGCTTTTGTATCTTGAGTGGGGCTGTCACCATAGTTACCCTGTCCAATAAACTTTCTCATTTAAATGCCTCTCACTTCAATGTACTATTTTATTCAGATCTCTGTCTAATCAAGGAGGCTCTAGCAGTATCTGCCCTGGGAAAATCCTCTTCATTTTGGTCCAAAGAAGCAATCTTTATTAACTATTTTCTTCTCTCGCATTGTCCATAAGAAGTAGGACAATTAATTTTTTATCATTTTTCTTAAATGCTATCTGCATTTCCCCTTGTGCACAACAGGTAAGAACCATGTCTTCACCCTTTGATGAAGCAAAAGGAGGAGGTTATTTAGAACCATCCCAAAAACCTATTTAAATCTCCCATGTATTGGAAGAAATAGCAACCCCACACCACCAGCTGGCTAGGAGAGGGTCTGGGCTTCATGCCACGGCTCATGCCTTTAGTCCCAGCTATGTGGGAGGCTGAGCCAGGAGGAGCACTTGGGCTCAGGAGTTCAAGGTTACAGTGAGCTGTGATTGCACCACTGCACTCCAGCCTGGGCAACAGAGTGAGACCCTGTCTCAAAAAAAAAAAAAAAAAAAAGGAAGAGAGTCTAGATAAACCAATGGGTCTGAAGGACTGTCTATGGTTTCTAGACAGCAAAGACCAGGGCCAAGAGCTCAGCTCTCTGCAGAGGACAGAGGCAGCACTGGGTGTGGAGCAGCTCTCAGAGCCAAGAGCCGTCAGTGGGTTCCCAGTAGGATGGCCAGGTCAGTGTGGAGGCAGGTCCACCATCCGCACCCCTTGCTGCACTGTGCCATTTGTCTCCTTATGAGTGTTGGGTCCCTGGCCTCCAATCTTTCTCCAGCCAAATCCTTTCTTTCTCAAGCATATCTCTGAGCCCACTCTCCCCTTCAAAGATTCCACCTGCCTCAAAAGTGCTTGCCAACATTAAGTGCCTGGGACTTGTCCCCACCCACCTTCAGCCCTTCTTCTGAGGATCAGAAGGCAGAGCATGGGACATCCCTTTTTTCTGGGACATAGATGATCTCCTACCTGAGCCATATGCTGGAGTTCCGCATGAAACAAATTCTGCCGCCAAGAAGCTCTGAAGCCATTCTCCACACTCTGCTGCACTTGGCAGCTCCCCATTCTTACCCAAAGAGGAAGAATCACACAGCAGTTGCGGATGGCTAGAGATTTCAAGTGTTTTAAGGCAGTTAATTTTGGGGGAAAAGAGAAAGCTGCTCAAAGAGAAAGCTGCTCCATCTGTTCATAGAGTGGAAAAGCCTATTCCCAACCTGGACAAAGGAAGATCTTTGATGCGATGCTGTGAAGGGACTCAGCTGCAGTAACTCACGCTTGTTCCACTCACAGCACCTTGAGGACCCCAGAGCCCCCTCACCCATAAATGTGTAGGACAAGCTGGTTCCTCTGACTTTGATCTTCTATGAAGGAACAGCATCTCTATCAGAATCAATTGGGAAGCCCTTTGAGATGGTCACTAGACTCACACTCACAGCCCATCAGAAAAGAACCCAGCCAAGGTGGGCTGACAGGGAGCTGAGGGGGTAGCCTTCTGTCTGAAGCATTCTACTTCAGAACCACCATGGCTCCATCTGGGTGGTCATAAAAAATGCAAGTCCCTGGGTTGTACCCCAGACAGACTGAACTTGAACATCTACAAGTGGAGATCAGGAGCCTACTTTAATTAAAAAACAATAACAACAAAACACCTCTCCTGGTTCTTGTTGTGATACTTTCTGGACTACTATAACCATGTTCCAGAAGCTCTGAGCAAGGTCTTTCCCTACACCCAAACAGCACCAGAACTGAAATTTCTTCTTTGGAGAATTATTCTTGTGAGGGCCCTGGAATGTTGTTTGAGTTGTGGTTGATATGGTTTGGCTGTGTCGCCACCCAAGTCTCATCTTGAATTGTAATTCCCACAATTCCCACATGTCATGGGAGGAACCCAGCGGGAGGTGAGTGAATCATGCAGGTAGGTCTTTCCTGCACTGTTCTCATGAGAGTGAATGAGTCTCATGAGATCTGATGGTTTTAAAAATGGGAGTTTCCCTGCACAAGTGCTCTCTCTTTGCCTGCTGCCATCCATGTAAGATGTGACTTGCTCCTCCTTGCCTTCCACCATGATTGTGAGGCCTCCCCAGCCATGTGGAACTGTGAGTCCAATTAAACCTCTTTCTTTTGTAAATTGCCCAGTGTCAGGTATGTCTTTATCAGCAGCATAAAAATGGGCTAATACAGTGGTCTTCTAAGGCTTCAGGTTAAACCATAAATACTCCTAAGAGGGAAGCACCTCCAAGCCACCTGGATGAGAGAAGTACACAAGAACAGAGCTAAACTCTCTTTGTGAGTGAGGAAGCCAGAAAGGGGGAAAACAGCATGAAAAAGCCTAGGGGTTCATGGACAGGCTAGGACCCTGCCCAGTGTCGAAGCCCCCAATGCAAAGACCACATAAAGACGGCTTTACTACACTTACTGATCAGGGAGAGCACTAACTTGTCAGAGTCTGTGTCTCTAAAGGAGGAACTTACAGAGTTGTAGGGGCTCAGTTAGTTATGGGGTACTGTTTAAGGTAGAAGTTAGGAAGCAGAGATTGGTAAGAATTTGCAAATCAGGTGAGTTGCTGAACTCAGATGGTCTTTGAAATGCATGGGTCCATGAGAAGTTACTCTTAACTCAGTCCGTGGTCTTATATTGGAACATATGGATTGGAACTTGACAAGCTGACATCAAAACAATTTGATCTTAGATAGTACAGGGCATGTCATGGTTTAATACAATTTTCTGTTGTGCAATCATAGTACAGTTTTGCTTGGATGGCATCTCTATCATTTCTCACCGCCAAACAAGAACATCAGCTCATCATTGCTTTATAATCACTTGAGCGCATGCTTTACTTATCACACTGTAACCCTTTCCAGAAACCAAATTCATAACTTGAGAATGCTAAAATGAGATTCTGGAAACTTGTTCCAAAAGAGGAATAAAAGTGTTAGAACAATGATAGCATTTTAGTAATAAGAGCACCATGCCCCAGTTGCCTCCTCTGAAAGACTATTATCATTCAGTTGTGGAAATTCCAGTGGGCCCATCACCCCACTACATACTTGGGCTATGTTGCTTCTCACATAAAGTCCCGAGGCATAGGTGGTAAGGAGATCACCTAGCCCATGCCCCTTGCCACCGAACTCATCCCTCCAATGCTTTCAGTCAATTGGAATACTATGACTTTTAAGAATAAGCACACTACATATATTTATCTGGCCATTTTCAGCTGCCATTTATATTGTTTCTCTCATTGACCTTCTCAGAAGTCTTAGGAGATAGGTCAGGAAGCTTCTACCCTCTCCTAAGGAAAAAAAAAAAAAAGACTTTTTAGAACAGTTTTAGGTTCACAGCAAAACTAAGCAGAAAGTTCCCATATAACCCCTTGCTCCCATACCCGCACAGCCTGCCACACTGTCAGCATCCCCCAGTGGTGTGCTGCATTTGCTACCATTCATGAACCCATACTGACACATCATCACCACCCAGAGCTCCTAGTTTACATTATGGTTCAGTCTTGATGATGTACATTCTGTGGATGTACATCATCCACAGCCTGCCACACTGTCAGCATCCCCCATTGGTGTGCTGCGTTTGCTACCATTCATGAACCCATACTGACACATCATCACCACCCAGAGCTCCTAGTTTACATTATGGTTCAGTCTTGATGTTGTACATTCTGTGGATCTTGACAAATGTCTAATGACATGTGTATCTATCATTACAGTATCAGAGCCATTTCATTGCCCTAAAAATCCTTCCCCCAACCCCTGGAAATTACTGATCTTATACTATCTCCACAGTTTTTCCTTTTCCAACATATCATAAGCTGGACTCTCGTCTCCTTTTAATGAACATGGAAACGTGCACAGAGAGGTGTGTGATGGCTCAGTGTGATACAGGCAGCCCCAGGTGTTCCATCTCCAGGCCCCACATTCCCTCCACTGAGCCTCCTTCACGACTCTGTTTCTTGACTCTGCAGAGCTGAGAACTTCCTCAGCTGCGATCATTTCAGACCTGAGTAGAATAGAACTCCTACGCCGAGTGTTTCAGTGAACAGAGAATTTTAGGGAATGTTCCAATTTGGCTGAAGGTCCATCTTCTTGGTGAAGCTAATAGATGAAGCTAATGGAAAGCATTTAAGACAAAGACAATTAGGGGAGACTTTGTTTTATAAAACAAATCTGAATACTTGGGAGAGCAGGTTTAGCTCAAATGTTCAAAAATTCCTTCACTAATACCCGGCTCTAAAAACATTTTCTTAGTTGACAAATAGTAATTGTATGTATTCGTGATGTACAATAATTGTACATCATGGTTCTATTTCAATACACATAAGGTATAGTGATCAGTCCAGGGTAATTCGCATATTTATTATCTCAAACATTTATCATTTCTTTGTGTTGGGAACATTCACTATCCTCCTCCTAGCTATTTGAAACTAATAATATATCGTTGTTAACTATAGTCATCCTACAGTTAATACCTGGCATCAGCACTGAGTTGAAACACATCTAAGGAAAAGAAAGGGTTTTATGAGCCAAGGACATGGCATTAACTCTCTTGAATTTTTACCAATTATGTTAAAAATAACCATGCAATTCAGGTTCAATTAAAGAGGAGAATAAAGGGAGTGGAGCAGCACATAGCAGAATGAAGCATTTATCTGAGACTGACAGCAAAAGCCTCTTTGACTTCAGCAGTGGAATTCAGTATGCTTCTTTAGAACGAAAGAGCAAAAGAAAAAAGGTAAAAAGCCTTTCCCCCGACTCTATCCTCTTCTCAAGTTCCATGACCTTGGGCTGTCAGACTTACTGCAGAAGGAAAATTTCAGCAGTTCAGCAGTATCACTCCTATAGCTCGATCCTAGAATTGTTTGGGCTTGATTTCCATAGACATTTTTTGTAACCCACTGCCAACCTCTAGGAAATAGGGATGAGTGACAACAGCACCTGGCTAGAAATGACAGTCTGTGGCTCCAGTTCTGGTGGTTTGTTGGTTCTACAGGTGAGCCTCAGGTGGTCATCTCCCCACTGTGGGGCTCTCTGACTTCCCTCTTTTTCAAAAGGATGTGGCTAATCATTCACATTAGATCTTCCCAAAGATGCCTAATGATCTTAGGGTCAGTGCATGCCATGGTGTTTCCTTGGGTGCAAGTTTAGAGCTTACTGAAATAGGGACAGAGGGATGGCCACCTTGACCTTCAGGTTTTCTTAAATCCCTTTCTTCAGAAGGAGGGGCTCAGGTAAAGGAAACACATCACTTCTGCATGGTGAATGCAGCTGAGAGCACACTCCTCCCTGCTAAGTGAGACCTAGCTAGCAACTCAAGGAAGATGCTCATGTCCCACTAGGACTTTAGAACACACACATGCACACCTTTATCTAACTCCAGGCATCTGGTTAGGAGAGATCATGTCGCTAAATTTAGAATTGTCAGGTCACTCTCTATTTAAAGTTGTAGTCTTGGGGACTTCATTCACCTCTCTTCCTATTTCCCTCATTGGCCACCTCCTACTGCAAAGGCACCTGAGAGTGGATTTGAATCCCATAACGTTTAGAGGAACCTTGGAGTAAAGTGTTCCAGAAATAAAAGTCATCACATACCCAGGCAGGGAAGGAGGGAAGATACAGGAGATTCCTATTCCTTTATTTAATTTTTATTAATTTAATTTTGTCTTAGCTTTTTATTATCAAAAATTCAACATTTACAAAGTGGAAATCGTACAATGAACTGCCATGTATCCATCACCCAGTTTCAACAATTAGCAACTCAAGACCAATCTCATTTCATCTATACCACCATCCGTTCCCTCTTCCCATCAGATTGATTTGAAGAAAATCCAGACATCATATAATTTCTTTTGAGGCATTTCTAAATGTATGTATTTCTTAAAAATGGCCAGGCGCGGTGGCTGGATTGTAATCCAGCACTTTGGGAACCTGAGATGGGTGGATCACTTGCAGTCAGGAGTTGGAGACCAGCCTGGCCAACATGGCAAAATCCTCTGTCTACAAAAAAAAATACAATAAATTAGCCAACATGGTGGCATGTTCCTGTAATTCCAGCTACTTGGGAGACTGAGGCACAAGAATCACTTGAATCCAGGAGGTGGAGGTTGCAGTGAGTCGAGATTGTGTCACTGCACTCCAGTCTGGGTGACGGAGTGAGACTCTGTCTCAAGAAAAAAAAAAAAAAAAAGAAAGAAAGAAAAAGAAAAGAAAAAAGAGAGAAAAAAGAATAAGCACTCTTTTTTAAAATGTTATCACAGTATTAGAAATTATCCACTGTTTGATCCCTCCAGTTATCTCAGAAATCCATTTTTAAATAGTTTGTTTGCATCAGGATCTAAATAAGGTCCATATCCACATGTTGCAATTAGTTGACAGGTCTCTAAAATATCTTTTAATCTATAGGTGCCTCCTCCATTTTTTCCTTGCCTCTTCTAACTCATTTGTTGAAGAGAGCAGTTTGTCTTGAGAATTTTCCACAGTGTGAATGTTGCTGATGGCATCTCTGTGGTGTCATTTACCATGTTATTTTGTCCTCCGTATTTCCTGTAAGTTGATAATTAGATGTAATTAGATAAAAGTTTGCTTGCATTGTGACCTTATTCTGGTTTTTTCTTTATTTCTTTGTTTTTGGTTTCTTTTTTAGGATAATTCACATGTGGTTCTGTGTATTTTCATCACAAAATACATATTGTCTGGTTATCTGTTTATCAATAGCAACTATTTATGAACTGCCTAAATTCATTAATTGATCAGAGATTGTCCAGTAGTTATATTCTATCATCTTCTTTTTACTAACTGGAAAACTTCTGTAAAGAGAAGCTTCCTCTCATCAATGATTTGATTTCCCTAAAGTACATTTCATATACGAATGGCGAAAGGAATTAATTTTTTCCTTTTTTTAACTGATTTAAAAACAGTAAGTTGGATTTCTAATATCTCCTAAAGTTAACCAGTAAGGTTTTTTCCAAATATTTTTATAAATTCAGGGATTCATGCATGTTCTGTGTGTTCAAGTCCATTACAGTTATTATCCTTAATGATATTCCAATTGTCCCTTCATTGGCCAGAGCAAGCTTCTAAAAGTTAGATCACTTCCTTTTGACCTGACTCTTTGAGAGCTAGATTGATTGATTGATTGATTGATCTCTTGTATGACAACATGTTCTGGAATCCATCTTGCACATTTATTACTCCATACCTGGAATTAGCCATTTTTTAAGGAGCCCTGTGTCTTTCAGTAAGAAACAGTATTGAGAGACCCTGATCTGGGCTCTAGGAGTGCTGTTGCTTTCTTCAGCTCCATTGTCTGGCCGTGTCCTGGTTTGTTCACCTTCTCCTATTGGTGGGTATTTGTGCTGCATGTAATACATATCCTGTGCATACATCTTTGGGTATCTTTCTTGAGATCGATTGCCAGAAGTAGGATAATTGGAGCAAAAGGTAAATTTATACATCATTTTTCTGGACAATGCCAAATTCCTCTTTATAGGGGTTGTACCATTTTATATTCCCACCAGCAATGACCGACAGTGCCCATTTCCCCACAGCATTGCTAATTACATGATATTGTCAAACTTTGGGATTTTTTCCAATTTGATAAATGAGAAATCATATTAGTGCAGTTTTAAATTTCATTTTTCTCTTATGAATGAGATTGAGCATATAGTGAAGTGCTATTTGCATTTCTCTTCCTGTGAACTCTGACCATATCTCTAGTCCATTTTCTATACAATCATTGGTCTTTTGTTTCTCTATTTTTCTAATCTTTTCTATATTAGGGATATTAATCCTTTGAGTTATAATTTACATTTTTAAAATTTTATTTGCCTTTTTACTTTGCTTAAGACTTTTTGTTTGTTTGTTTTTGAGATGGAGTCTCACTCTGTCACCCAGGCTAGAGTGCAGTGGCACAATCTCAGCTCACTGCAACCTCCACCTTGCAGATTCAAGCAATTCTCATGCCTCAGCCTCCTGAGTAACTGAGATTACAGATGCACACCACCACACCCAGCTAATTCTTGTATTTTTTTGTAGAGGCAGGGTTTCACCATATTGGCCAGGCTGGTCTCGAACTCTTGACCTTAAGTGATCTGCCCACCTCAGCCTTCAAAGTGCTGGGACTACACGCGTGAGCCACTGCACCTGGCCAGATTTTCTTAATGATACAAAAGTTCTTATTTTTATAGAATCATCTTTATAAGTTTTTTTCTGATTTTTTTCTGGATTTTGAAAGAAACCATTTAAGAAAATGCATATGGTTGTTTTTTACGTATGTAAATATTTCAGAGTGATGTATTCCAATTTTTTAAAGCAAATGAATTCTTATTTTGTCATTGTGAAAACCTAAGGTACTCAGGACTTGACATGAAATAGACCTTCAGTGAGTGTATATGCATAAATACGTAGCAGGCTGTATCCTTTTTCATTAAACGATACTGTGTCGCTGGCCTGGTCGACTGAGTCCTTGGTAGCTCTATATCCATATGTCATCAATGCCTGTATGCAGAGTTTATCTTTTGTCAGTTAAGGACAAGCTGTACAGTGTGGCTCCCATTATTTAATAATGGTGACTATGACCCTGTAAATGTTCGTATCTCATTTTCATACGACTTCTGGTTCAAGTACAAAATACCACGCTGTGGACCCATTCACAAAGCCATAAGGGTGCCTACCCCTGTCTTCCTCTCTCCATTCATTCATTTTTTGTTTAACAACATTCCTTTGTTGAATACCTGCTATGTGCTAGACACCAGCAGAGCAGTTTACAATTTATTCTATTTATCTGTTAACCTACACTCATTGAGATCTTAAGAGACCTATCAGCTATAACAAAAAAAGGAGCACTCAGTTCAAATTCACATTGGTTACTTTGTAGGCTATGTGTTAGATGTATTGAAAATATGTATAGCTGTTTTAAGGATATTGTTCTTTGCTAGTTAATTCTTTACTAGCATGGAACACAGTTTTTTTAAAAAAAAAAAACAAAAAACCTAAATGCACATGTTGCTATGTCATTTATCATCAGTAGTTGGATTACTTAGGAACCATAATGATCTTCCTTGCTGCTATTGCTTACATTGCGACTTTTCTTCTTTCCCCAGGAAATAGGATCTTATTAAAAATATTCAGTCCCATAGCAAAATATCATTTCTCTGTGTAAGCTTGATGTTTTCAGTATTCAAACTATTTTATGTGGTTTGTAAAGTTGACAAAACAGTGGCTTCTGGAATGAAGCATGTTTTGAGCCTACACACTGTGAGACCTATGACTTTAATATTTAGCAGTGATAGAGAAAACCACCCAAGGAATGCTTATTTAATGGGCAGGAAATTTTCGAGGCTATGAGACCTGACATTTTGTCTTTTTTGTCAGCGCCGTCCCATAGTGCCTGATGCATGTTGTTTTTCTCATAGAAGGAACGTGGGAATGCTGCCGCAGGCCAGAGCAGGTGGGAGGAGTGTGGAGCCCATCCTGGCTCTGGGATGACCAAAGGCCAGCACACAGTTTCCAGGGCCTCTACATATTTGTTCCTCAAAGGGAACTGAGGACTCAGCTCCGCAGGCCATGGTGGAGAATAGGTGAAAGAGCCCATGATGAATAACTATTTATTGAAAATCTACCACACACGTGACATTGTCCTAGATATGATAGTCCCTTGGTACTCAAAGTGTGGTCCCTAGACAGACCAGCTTTGACATTACCTGACAGCTTATTAGAAATGCAGAATCTCAGGGCCTGCCCCCAGAGAGACTCACTGAGTCAGACTGCATTTTAACAAGATCTTGGGCATTTGTACCACACACTGCATCTGAGAAGCATTCTATGGAGAACACCAAGGTGGGCACAGTCCCTGCGAAAAAGCAACCCTGCAACAGGAGGGAAGCTACATAATCATAATGTTATGAATCTAAACAATACATCGAGGGAGAGTAAAAGACACAGGAATGATTATGAGACAAATACTTGCAGAAGGAGGAGGGAGCTCTACAAGATGGGGTGACCAGGAAAGGCATTCTGGGGTGGGGGTGTACGCTGGTTCTGGGAAGTTGGGTAGGATTAGAGCCAAGGAGAAGGAGAGGACACTTTGGGAGGCAAAACCATCACCAGAGGTGAGAAGGGACACCCGAGATGTGTCCCAGGATCGCTGAATATCCAAATGTGTCTGAAGCCAATCGCATTGCTCAGCTCTTTGCTGGACTCTTCACTACGAGGAGTAGAAAGAGGCAGCCCTGCAGAAAAGTGAATGTTCTAGGAGACTAGCAAATACATTTCATTTTGTAATTTTAAGTTAGGCCATTCCAAAAGGTCTATTTATTATTCATTAATTAGTAGCTTGTGTAGTACCTAAGGCATTAATGCTTCTTCTGGGGTGGAACCCTTGGCTAGCCTGCCTTCACATGGCTGGGGCACTCCAGTGACCTCTGTCCTGGATGCTGAGCTGACTGCTCCTCCCCTGGGGCCACTCTGAAAAGCCATCTCTGCTTTACAGAATACCCAGGGGTGATGGCAGGGACTTGGAAGGGGATACTTAAGGAGTCCTCAAATGTGGACCTAAGGTATTGATTCTGAAGATATTCAGTGCTGTGTTACCATTCATCACATCACCATTTGGATACCCGCTGAATTGCAGGTCTGTGCCAATAATGCATTGATTTTATAATATGTTTGCTCTGTTATTATCCCTGTATGAAGAAGAGATTGTCCCCTTTTGTTTCAAATTCTAACCATTTTTTTATCATCACTCTCTTTGAGCAACTCATGATGTCCTGCTGGTTTTAACGTTCACTGTCTGTAAAAAGATTCCTAGTTTACCTACTGACTGCCATAGGCTGAGTGCCGCGTAGACAGTTTGTCTGAAGGCAGCATTTTAAGGAGGTCCCCACTAACAGAGATAGAAACAGGCACCAGGGAAGGGTTGCTGGCAATATACTCAGCTGCAGCGAATGTTCTTACCTACAGGTGTTTGGAGTGTGATTCACCCAGCAGGGCGCAGATTGACTAAGCAGTCTCATTGCATTAATATCCCTGGCACCTCATTTGAGGTGAGATATGACTTGCTTCAAAGCATTGCTCAAGCATGCAGTGGGCTCCGCTCTGCTGAGTCAGACTCATGATGTTGGCCAAATGCTCCTGGCTTTGGCTGTCAAGACCAAGTGAACTTTAACAACTGACCAGTATTTGTTTTTTAAGGCATGGCCAGCAAACAGAGATTCAGCGGAAGGACTGATGCCAAATTTCAGTGGATGCGTAGCAAACCCTGAGCAAAGGGCTGACTTTGCCCCTCTGCTCTGAGAAGGAGACAAGCTGGGTGCCGTCTCCTAGCCCTGATCTCTCCTCCCAGTCCTTCTGAATTCTTGCCCTAGGCCAACCTGGCACCTCATTTGAGGTGAGATGTGACATGTGCCCTGAGACTCTGAAGTGTCAAGTGGTAGGTGGAGAGGGAGCACATGCCATCAGGATCTCAGATAGTCTGTTCTGTTGACACAACTTGGGTCTGATCATGGGTCCACCATCTTAATAATTATTTTAAATAACACTGGTAGTTGTAGGGACTCCGTAAAGTCAACATGCTGGACCAGGTATCCCATGTACATTAGCTCCTTTAAACCTCACAGCAACCTGCAGGGTAGGTATTATTGACATATTGATGGAATACTATGGGAAGAGGCCCCATAGTGAGCCTGAGACTTCAGAAATGCTCAGGGCTGTGGAGCTCCTTCCTTTTTGGTTGTTGTTGTTTGGTTGGTTCTGATGTGCTCTCACTCTTTGCTTTCTAACCTGGCTCTGCATCCTGTGTCTCTCTCATTCCTCCTTCCCCATCTCAGGTACTCTAGCTTTTCCTGCCCTCCCTTGCACAGCCAGACCTCCTGGCTCTGTGGATCCAGGGGAATTGGCCTGAATCACAGAGAAACTCCCTTATCAGGAAGGGGAAATTGATGATGGGCTCTTGTCAATGTTGATGCTTTCCATCTGCACCTCTTTAGGGATACCAGCTGCTGCCTGCCAGCCCCAGGTGATGTGAAAGGAACAAGCAACCAACCACCACACAGCGGTTTGTAAATTGTATACTATACCTAAAGTTCCCAACCTCCTAGGCGAATGGAAAACCCACCATTCTCACTTGCACAAATGCAAAGTTGTTCAAGAAGTGACTCAAATGGGGAAGAAGAGAGGATCCCAGGCACAGAAGGTATGAAAGAGCAGCTCCAAGGAGAGGGGGGAAAATGGCGGACAGGAGGCAGGACTAAATTGCAGCTTTCACTCGGATGGATAGAGCAGCATGTCGGGAGTCACATTGTGAACTTCTGCTCCAAGAACTACTGCAGGAATATACCAGGAAAGCCAAGAGAATCCACAGACCCTTTGAAGGAAGCGGATTACTCCCGCAGGACCCAGGAGACAGCCCAAATACTGTGCATGCCCAAACTGTGAAAGTGGGAAAGGAGGATCATCCGCCCATGAACGCGTGCCCTCACTGGGGAACCTGAAAGTCCAGATCATGGGAGAAGGATTTGAGCTGAGACAATGTAGACACCTGAGTGAACTACAGAGGTAGAGGAAGCAGCAGGAAAAGCCCTGCAGTCTCTCTGGGTCCCCATGTAAGCCATTTCTGACTTGTCTCACAGGGGTCCCTGGGGAGGGCTGCCAGAGGAACTGGGAAAAGACTACAGGGAGAAGGAAACCTCCAGCTGAACTTTGTAACAATTACAACCAGAGTTTCCTAGCCAGAACTCCGGGTAGGGCATGAATCTGATGTGCAGACTCAACAGGTGGGGAGGCATGAAAGGCCAGGCGCGGTTTCTCAACGCCTGTAATCCCAGCACTTTGGGAGACCGAGGCGGGCGGATCACGAAGTCAGGAGATCGAGACCATCCTGGCTAACACAGTGAAACCCCGTCTCTACTAAAAATACAAAAAATTAGCTGGGCATGGTGGCACATGCCTGTAATCCCAGCTACTTGGTAGGCTGAGGCAGGAGAATCGCTTGAACCCGGGAGGCGGAGGTTGCGGTGAGCCAAGATCGGGCCACTGCACTCCAGCCTGGGCAACAAGAGCGAAACTCCGCCTCAAAAAAAAAAAAAAAAGTCCTGCTTGCTTTCTCAGCCTGGAGGCTGGTAGCCTGGTGCAAGTTCTGAGCCCTGTTCACCCACTGCCTGGAAACAGACTCAGTGCTGGTGAGGTGGGGGGCAGGGGGCATGGTGGAAATGAGACTGGCCTTTTGGGTTGTGCGGGAGCTGGATGAGGCCTGTAACTGCCAGCTTTCCCCGACTTCCTGACAACCTGCATGACACAGCACAGGCAGCCATAATCCTCTTGGGAACACAATTCTATTGACCTGGAACCACACCCCCATTCCCCACAGCAGCCACAGCAAGCCCCTCCCAAGGAGAGTCTGAGCTCAGACATGCCTAGCCGTGCCCCCACCTGATGGTCCTTCCCTACTCACCCTGGTAGCTGAAAACAAAGGGCATATTCTCTTGGGAGTTCTAGGGCTCTGCCCACCACCTGACCCTCCCTTTACTACCACAGCTGATGCTCTCTCGAAAGCGCCACCTCCTGGCAGGAGGGCAACCAGCACAAAACTACAATAAACAACAATAATATAATTAAGGACCCTCCCAGAGTCCATTTCACTCCCCTGCCACCGCCACTGGAGCAAGTGCTGGTATCCATGGCTGAGAGACCTAAAGATAGTTTATATCACAGGACTCTATGCAGACATCTCCTAGTACCAGCCCAGAGCCTGGTAGCCCATCTGGGTGGCTAGATCCAGAAGAGAAATAACAATTACTACCGTTCGGCTCTCAGGAAGCCACATCCCTAGGAAAAGGGGGAGAGGAGAGTACTACATCCAAGGGAGCACCCCATGGGACAAAAGAATCTGAACAGCAGCCTTGAGCCCCAGATCTTCCCTCTGACATAGCCTACCCAAATGAGAAGGAACCAGAAAAATAATTCTGGCAATATGACAAAACAAGGTTCTTTAACACCTCAAAAAAGAAAAAGAAAAAAAACACTAGCTCACCAGCAACAAATCCAAACCAAGAAATGCTTGAATTGCCAGAACAAGAATTCAGAAGGTTGATTATTAAGCTAATCAAGGAGGTACCAGAGAAAGGTGAAGTCCGACTTAAGGAAATTTTTAAAAATATACGAGATATAAAGGGAGAAATCTTCAGTGAGATAGATAGCATAAATAAAAAATAGTCACAACTTCAGGAAATAAAGGACACACTTAGAGAAATGCAAGATGTACTGGAAAGTCTCAGCAATAGAATCAAACAAGCAGAAGAAAGAACTTCAGAGCTCGAAGACAAGGTTTTGAAATAACTCAATCCAACACAGACAAAAAAAAAAAAAGAATTTTTAAAAAATTAGCAAAGCCTCCGAGAAGTCTGGGGTTATGTTAAATTACCAAACCTAAGAATTGGCATTCCTGAGGAAGAAGAGAAATCTAGAAGTTTGGAAGACATATTTGGGGGAATAATTAAGGAGAACTTCCTCAGCCTTGCTAGAGAGCTAGACATCCAAATACAAGAAGCTCAAAGAACACCTGGGAAATTCATCACAAAAAGATCCTCACCTAGGCACATAGTTATCAAGTTATCCAAAGTCAAGACAAAGGAAAGAATCGTAAGAGCTGTAAGGCAAAAGCATCAGATACCTATAAAGGAAAACCTATCAGATTAACAGCAGATTTCTCAACAGAAACCATACAAGCTAGAAGGGATTGGGGCCCTATATTCAGCCTCCTTAAACAAAACAATTATCAGCCAAGAATTTTGTACCCAGTGAAACTAAGCTTCATAAATGAAGGAAAGATAGTCTTTTTCAGACAAACACACACTAAGAGAATTCATCACTACCAAGCCAGCACTACAAGAACTGCTAAAAGGAGCTCTAAATCTTGAAACAAATCCTGGAAACACACCAAAACAGAACCTCTTTAAAGCATGGGTCTCACGGGATCTATACAACAAAAACACACACAAAAAAACCGAGGTATTCAAGCAACAAATAGCATGATGAATTGAATAGTACCTCACATCTCAATACTAACATTGAATGTAAATGGTCTAAATGCTCTGCTTAAAAAATACAGAATTGCAGAATGGATAAGAATTCACCAACTAAGTGTCTGCTACCTTTAAGAGACTCACCTAACACATAAGGACTCACATAAACTTAAGGTAAAGGGGTGGAAAAAGATATTACATGTAAATGGACACCAAAAGTGAGTAGGAATAGCTATTCTTATATCAGACAAAACAAACTTGAAAGCAACAGCAGTTAAAAAAGACAAAGAGGGACATTATATAATGATGAAAGGCCTTAACAGGAAAATGTCACAATCATCCTAAATATACATGCACCTAATGCTGGAGCTCCCAAATTTATAAAACAAATACTGCTAGACATAAGAAATGGGATAGCAACACAATAATAGTGGGGGACTTCAATATTCCACTGACAGCACTAGACAAATCATCAAGACAGAAAGTCAACAAAGACATACTGGGTTTAAACTATACCCTAGAACAACTTGACTTAACGGATATTTTACAGAATATTCTACCCAACAACCACAGAATATACATTCTATTTCATCAGTGTGGCCGACTGCCACAGCTACTACTTGAGACCCTCATTGCAGCAATTATTACTGTTACTGCTTGAGACCGTCATTACAAGACTGAACAAAGGGATGAACGTAGAAATGGTAACAAAAAACAAAAGTAACTATTTTAAGGAAAGGCTAGCATGGGGAAGAAGAAGAGAAGAGAAAAAGAAAAGAAAAGGGCTCCCTGCTTCTAGTGAGCAAAGGCAGCTGCCGAGCTTCCACAGCCCTTCTTATATATTAGGTAACAAGAGCAAGAAGGAGGAGGTAATGATTGGTTAGCTGTTTACTTGCTCACAGGTTCTCATTATTGCTAACAGGCTTCAATTATGCCTAATCATAAGAAATACTTGTGCAGCCTCCAACACATCAGCACATGGAATTTTCTCTAAGATAGACCATATGATTGCCACAAAACAAGTCTCAATAAATTTAAGAAAACTGAAATTATGTCAAGTACTCTCTCAGACCACAGTGGAATAAAACTGGAAATTAACTCCAAAAGGAAACTTCAAAACCATGCAAATATATGAAAATTAAATAACCTGCTCCTGAATGATCACTGGGTCAAAAATAAAATCAACATGAAAATTTAAAACCTTTGAACTAAACTACAGTAATGACACAACTTATCAAAACCTCTGGGATACAAGCAAAGGCAGTGCTAAGAGGAAAATTCATAGCCTTAAATGCCTACATCAAAAAGTCTGAAAAAGCACAAATAGGCAATCTAAGACCACACCTCAAGGAACTAGAGAAACAAGAACAAACCACCTCCAAGCCCAGCAGAAGAAGAGAAATAACCCAGATCAGAGAAGAACTAAATGAAATTGAAACAACAACAAAAAAAAATACGAAAGACAAATGAAACAAAAAGCTGGTTCTTTGAAAAGATAAATAAAATTGATAGACCATTAGAAAGATTAACCAAGAAAAGAAGAGAGAAGATCCAAATAAGCACAGCTGGAAATGAAATGGGAGATATTACAACCAACGCCACAGAAATACAAAAGATCATTCAAGACTACTACTGTGAACACCTTTACACACATAAACTAGAAAACCTAGAGGAGATGGATAAATTCCTGGAAATATACAACCCTCCTAGATTAAGTCAGGAAGAATTAGAAACCCTGAACAGACCAATAACAAGGAGCAAGACTCAAATAATAATTTTAAAATTACCAACAAAAAAAAAAGTCCAGGACCAGATGGGTTCACAGCTGAATTCTATCAGACATTCAAAGAAGAATTGGTACCAATCCTATTAACACTATTCCACAAGACAGAGAAAGAGGGAATCCTCCTAAATCATTCTATGAAGTCAGTATCACCCTAATACCAAAACCAGGAAAGGACATAATAAAAAAAGAAAACTACAAACCAACATCTCTGATGAACATAGATGCAAAAATCATAAATGCTAGTGAACCAAATCCAACAGCATATCAGAAAGATAATCCACCATAATCAAGTGGGTTTCATACCAGGGATGCAGGGATGGTTTAACATATGCAAGTCAATAAATGTAATACCACATAAAGAGAATTAAAAACAAAAATCACATGATCATCTCAATAGATGCAGAAAAAGCATTTGACAAAGTCCAGCATCTCTTTATGATTAAAACCTTCAGCAAAATCAGCATACAAAGGATACACCTCAGTGTAGTAAAAACTGTCTATGACAAATCCACAGCCAACATAATACTGAATGGGGAAAAGTTGAAAGCATTCCTTCTGAGAACAAGACAAGGATGCCCACTCTCACTACTTCTATTCAACATAGTACTGGAGGCCCTAGCTAGAGCAATCAGACAAGAGAAACAAATAAAGGACATCCAGATCAGTAAAGAGGAAGGCAAACTGTTGCTGTTTGCTGATGATATAATCGTAAACCTAGAAAACCCTAAAGACTCCTCCAAAAAGCTCCTAGAACTGTTAAATAAATTCAGCAAATTTCAGGATACAAAATTAATGTACACAAATCAGTAGCTGTGCTATACACCAACAGCGACCAAGTTGAGAATCAAATCAAGAACTCGACCCTTTTTACAAATGCTGCAAAAATCAAATAAAATAAAATACTTTGGAATATACCTAAACAAGGTGAAAGCCATCTACGAGGAAAACTACAAAACACTGCTGAAAGAAATCATAGACAACACAAACAAATGGAAACACATCCCCTGCTTATGGATGGGTAGAATCAATATTGTGAAAATGACCATACTGCCAAAAGCAACCTACAAATTTAATGAAATTCCCATCAAAATGCTACCATCATTCTTCACAGAACTAGTAAAAACAATCCTAACATGTGGAACCAAAAAAGAGCTCACATAGCCAAAGCAAGACTAAGCAAAAAGAGCAAATCTAGAGGCATCACACTACCTGACTTCAAACTATACTATAAGGCCATAGTCACTAAAACAGCATGGTACTGGTATAAAAATAGGCACATAGACCAACGGAACAGAATACAGAACCCAGAAGTAAACCCAAATACTTATAGCCAACTGATCTTGGACAAAGCAAACAAAAACATAAAGTGTGGAAAGGCCACCCTATTCAACAAATGGTGTGGGGATAATTGGCAAGCTGCATATAGGAGGATAAAACTGAATCTTCATCTCTCACCTTACACAAAAATCAACTCAAAATGGATCAAGGAACTAAATCAAAGATCTGAAACTATAAAAATTCTAGAAGATAACATTAGAAAAACCCTTCTAGACATTGGCTTAGGCAAAGACTTCATGACCAAGAACCCAAAAGCAAATGCAACAAAAATAAAAATAAATAGGTGGGACTTAATTGAACTAAAGAGCTTCTGCACAGCAAAAGGAAGAGTCAGCAGAGTAAAGAGACAACCAACAGAGTGGGAGAAAAATCTTCACAACTTGTAATCCTACAAAGGACTAATATCCAGAATCTACAACAAACTCAAACAAATTAGCAAGAAAGAAACAAACAGTCCCATCAAGAAGTGGGGTAAGGACATGAATAGACAGTTCTCAAAAGAAGATATACAAATGGCCAACAAACATATGAAAAAATGCTCAACATCACTAATGATAAAGGAAATGTAAATGAAAACCGCAATACAATACCATCTTACTCCTGCAAGAATAGCCATAAATCATAAAAGCAAAAAATAATAGATGTTGGCATGGATATGGTGAAAAGGGAACACTTCTACACTGTTGGTGGGAATGTAAACTAGTACAACCACTATGGAAAACAGTGTTTTATTTAAAGTTTAATAGTTAAAGAAATAAAAGTAGAACTTCCATTTGATCCAAAAGTCCCATTACTGGGTATATACCCAGAGGAAAAGAAGTCATTATAAAAAAAAGATACTTGCATATGCAAGCTTATAGCAGCACAATTCGCAATTGCAAAAAATATGGAACCAGCCCTAATGCTCATCAATCAATGAGTGGATAAACACATTGTTTATGGAATACTACTCAGCCATAAAAAGGAAAGAACTAATGGCATTTGCGCTACCTGGATGGAGCTGGTAACTATTATTCTAAGAGAAGTGACTCAGGAATGAAAACAACAAACATCGCATGTTCTCACTCATAAGTGGGAGCTAAGCAATGAGGATGCAAAGGCATAAGAATAATACAGTGGAATTTGGGGACTCAGGAGAGAGGGTGGGAGGAGGGTGAGGGATAAAAGACTACAAATTGGGTTCAGCGTTTACTGCTCAGGTGATGCATGCACCAAAATCTCCCAAATCACCACTAAAGGACTTACTTATGTAACCAAATACCACCTGTTCCCCCTCAAACCTATGGAAATTTTTTAAAAAATTAATGCAATAAAAAAAAGAAAAGAAAGAGCAGCTTCAAGACCCACAGAGATGTCCCCAAGACCCCTTAAAGGCTTAGAAACATATGTGGGTGTCAACATGAGAGACCCTCTAGGCATCTCCAGAATCTCTTCTACAGTGATATTGGAGGAGGTGATTCTAATAGTGAATCAGAATTCACCTCCAACACATCCTGGTCTTGGAATATTCCAATTCAAACATGGGTTTTTAACCCATGTTCCTGTTTCCTGTCCTGTTAGCCCACAACTGCACCCAGTTATGCTGAGGAGCAATTAGGGCGACAGACAGATGACGGGTTTCTACATGTTTGGAAAGAGCATATATTTTGGGAGCCACTCTTGACCACCATACTTTCAGCATCCTCCAGGCAGCTTTACTGTGGATACCCCAAGACACTTCTTTCTGAGCAGGGCACATAGCTGTGGCTCATCAAGACTGCACTCAAGCTCTGGGAGAAAAAGGGAAACCAGTTGCACCCGGGAAGCAAATCAGCAAGTGGAAAGTAACCCAAGGACACGTGTGGACAGAACCCTTCCACTGTCTCCCATTTCTTTGCCCACTGCTTTCCAGGCTGTGCCTACCTAGGAGCAAGTATGACAGCCTTTGTCAAAAAAATCAGACCATCCCAGCCTCCTGTGTGCTCCAGCCACTTTGAGCCACAGAACCATCTGAGTACGGCATTGCCCTCATCTCTCGCCTCACTTCCATCCAATTCCACAGTCCAATTTCTTGATTCAAACTTGACTTTATTCAGGCTTATTTGCCCCCCTTCCAAATCACAAGCATTACTCTGGCTTTTAAAATCTAAATGTATCAAGGCTCAAGGCATGTGGGGTGGATTCCTGCCTATTCCACTGGCCTTATCTATTGCTCTATTCTTATAGCATCAAGCTCCTTTTCATTGTGTCCCCTTTGACTGGAAGGCCCTTCTCCCCACTCTTTAAAAGATTAGCTTATCTTCCTTTAGGTTTCGGTCCAATTTTACTTTCTCTAGAGACCATCCTGAAAACCCATTAATACCCCCCTGCAACCACGTACCTGCCACAGTGAGATAGAAAGTATGATATGGTTTGGCTGCATCCTCACCCAAATCTCGTCTTGAATTGCAGCTCCCATAATTCCCATGTGTTGTGGGAGGAACCCAGTGGGAGACAACTGAATCATGGGGGCGGTTTCCCCCATACTGTTTTCATAGTAGTGAATAAGTCTCACAAGATCTGATGGTTTTATAAAGGGAAACCCCTTTCACCTGGCTTTCATTCTCTCTCTTGTCTGCCACCATGTAAGACATGCCTTTCGCCTTCCACCGTGATTGTGAGGACTCCCCAGCCACGTGGAATTGTGAGTCCATTAAACCTCTTTTTCTTTATAAATTACCCAGTCTTGGGTATGTTTTTATCAGCAGTGTGGAAATGGACTAATACAAGGTGGGACTGGACTCCCCAGAGGAGGGGCTCAGACACTGGACCAAACTGAGAACTAGGGATGGGGCAGAAGCAGCTTTCCCTAGGACACGCCCACCAGTGTGTCATGTTAATTTACCATTGCCATGGCAACACCCAAAAATTACTGCCCCCTTCCATGGCAACAACCTCATGACCCAGAAGTTACTCCTCTTTTCCAAGAAATTTCTGCGTAATCTTCCCCTTAATTTGCATGTAATTAAAAGTGGATATAAATATGGCTGCAGAACTGCCTCCAAGCTGCTACCCTGGGCACACTGCCTGTGGGGTAGCCCTGCTCTGCAGTGAGCAGTACCTCTGCTGCTGCTGCTGCTGTACACTCTGCCACTAAAATAAAAGTTGCTGCCTAACACCACTGGCTCACCCTTGAATTCTTCCCTGAGTGAAGCCAAGAGCCCTCCTGGCACTAAGCCCCAATCTGGGGGTTTGCCTGCCCTGCATCAACATCACCCAACATCCTTCTTTTACTTGTTCACTGCCTGGCTCCCCACTAACATGTAAGCCCGAGGAGGGCAGATTCTGGAAATGTTGTCTGTATTGCTGTATCCTGTCAAAGACAAACATAGGCTGGGCGTGGTGGCTCACACCTGTAAGCCCAGCACTTCAGGAGGCTGAGGTGGGCGGATCACCTGAGGTTAGGAGTTCGAGACCAGCCTGGCCAAGATGGTGAAACCTCGTCTCTACTAAAAAAATACAAAAATTAGCCAGGCGTGGTGGCACATGCCTGTAATCCCAGCTACTCCGGAGGCTGAGGCAGGAGAATTGCTTGGACCTGGGAGGCGGAGGTTGCAGTGAGCCAAGATAGTGCCACTGCACTCCAGCCTGGGCAACATAGCAAGACTCCATATTGGGAAAAAAAAAGAAAGACAAAGATAAACATAGCTGGACATTAGTTAAGGCAGTAAAAACAGATTTTATGCAATAACTGCTGTCAGTAAAGGAAAGAACTGAGCTTCAATCTGATTAATGCAGAGGTGACTGGGCATTTTAAAGGGTCTTGAGCAGAGTTAGGGAAATGAAAAATTATAAAAGTTATAAAAAGTGATAAGGGGAAGTTGATCCATGTGAAACTCATCTGGGTTTGCTAACTGGTGTATATCAAAGTTAGGCTCCTACCCACTCCCACTGAGGCTGGGAGACAGGGACCCTATCATGAGGTGTTGCTGGAACAAACAGTAAACTCTTTGGGCAGCCTTGAGTTTTCTCAGACAGGCACTTCAAGGGGGAGGGGAAGGCCATCTGGGGGATAAGGCTTTGTGCTGTTAGAAACTCTATTAGTGTTTGTTCAAGTCCTTCCAGGGCAAAGGTGAGGGCTAGTGGAGAAGAGGACTCAGAGGAACCTGGTCAAGGAGAGAGTTCGGTTAAGGAGAGTCAATCAATCTCCAGCACAGTGCCTGGTACATAGTGAGTGCTCATAAAACATTTATTGGACCAATGAACAAATGAGTGAATGACTAACGGGAGGATGAACCCCCTCCATGATCACTCCCTGATGTGGAGAGGGAGCAAGAAGGGTGCTGGGGGAAGTGAGAGGGGCAGTTCTCCTGCCCACAAGAACCCCAGGGTAGAGGGTGGCAGCTCAGCAGAGCTCAGCCCTCAAGCCTGCTCTCACTCCCCACGGAGGGCTGCAGTCCTTGCAAAGTGGGGCATAGCAGAGATGCTAGAATCTTCATTGACCTTAACTCAATAACATCAATTTGAGGGAAAAGAAATTTCAAAAGCACCAGCATCAGGTTGTAATGTGAGCATGTTTGCAGCAATAACACATCTGTTGTGTTGAAAAACCAACAAGAAAAACAGAAACACCTGAACAACACCTACATTTTTTATTCTTGACAAGATCAAATAGGTTTATTCCTCCAATAAGCTACACAAACTCTGGTCATAATTAGCACTTGGCTGTGAGAAGCCTCTGCCAGATTTTTCTGTCACCTGTGATATGCTGTAAACATAAAACACAGGATGGGCATCTGACAGATGGTTAACCTGTGAGTCTCAACTCTGCAGAGTGATTTTAGAGGAAAAGGGAAGGAAATACCTAGCACAGCAGTGAACAGGTGTTCTTGATTAGCACCTTTTGCTCAGGTAAGAAATGATTTCCTGTGAAGGCTTTTTGGTCATTTTCATGTTGATTATATGGATTATGTACAGTATTTCTTGACAAAGATGAAACATTTCCTAGGAAAAGTGTGCTGGATGAGAGTGCAGAACATTGATGTTTTGGGGAGGATTTCACTTTGAATTATTATGCATAATGCTGCTCTGAACATTTATGCACAAGTTTCTGTACAGACATATGTTTTCTTTTCTTATGGGTATATACCTAGAAGTGGAATTGCTGGGTAGTATAGTAATTCTGTTTACTCTTTTGAGGAAGTGCCAGGCCATTTTCCAAAGTGGATTTCCACCAGCAGTGGATGAGGACTGTAATTTCTCTACATCCTCTCCAACAGTTGCTATTGTCTGCTTTTTTTATTCTAGCCATTCTAGCAGGTATGAAGTGGTACCTCATTGTGTTTTTTTTAAAATTAATTAGTTTTGTTCATCAACAATTAATAATTATATATATGTATGGGGTACAATGTGATGTTTTGATCTATGCATACATTGTAGAAAGATTAAGTCAAGATCGTTAACATGCCTCATTAACTTACCATTTTTTGTGGTGAGAATGTAAAGAATCTATTCTTTAGCAATTTTGAAATATATAATACATTAATATTAACTGTGGTCACCATTCCCTGAATAGCCAAAGATATCTTGAGCAAAAAGAACAAAGCTGGAGGTATCACACTACCTAATTTCAAAATATATTATAAAGCTATTGTAATCAAAACAGCATGGCAGCTGGGTGCAATGGCTCATGTCTATAATCCCGGAACATTGGGAGACCAAGGCAGAAGGATACCTTGATTCCAGGAGTTCAAGACTAGCTTGGGCAACATAGTGAGTCCTTATTTCTACAAAAAAAAAAAAAAATTAAAAACTGGCCAGTTATGGTGGTGCATGCCTATAGTCCCAGCTACTCTGGAGGCTGAGATGGGAGGATTGCTTAAGCTCGGGTGTTTAAGGCTGCAGTGAGCTATGATTGCACCACCACACTCCAGCCTGGGCAACAGAGTGAGACCCTGTCTCGAAAAAAAGAAAACGAAAAGAAAAAAAACAAAAGTCGTAATGGCACTGGCATGACGACAGACACATCAACCAGTGGAACAGGATATAAAGCCCAGAAGTAAACCCAAGTATTTATGGGCAATTTATTTTCAATAACAGTGCCAAGAAGACACAATGGGGAAAGAGCAGTCTCTTCAATAAATGGTGCTGGGAAAACTGTATGTTCATTCACATGCAGAAGAATGAAATTGGACCTTATCTCAGACATTATATACAAAAAAATCAACTCAAAGTAGATTAAAGACAAATGTAAGACCTGCAATTGTAAAGCTCCTAGAAGAAAACATAGGAGAAAGACTTTGTGACATTGGTCTGGGCAATGATTTTTTGGTTGACTCCAAAAGCATAGGCAACAAAAGCAAAAACAGTCATATGGGATTACATCAACATAAAAAGTTTCTGCACAGCCAAGGAAATGACTAACAGAATGAAGAAACAATCCACAGATTGGAAGAAAATATTTGCAAACCATACATCTGATAAGGGGCTAATATACAAAAAAATAAGTAACTCAAACAACTCAATAGCAAGAAAACAAATAATCCAATTAAAAAACGGGCAAAGGACCTGAACAGGCATTTGTCAAAAGAAGAGATACAAATGGTCAACAGGTATATGAAAAAATGCTCAACATCTCTATCAGGTAAATGCAAGTTAAAACCACAATGAGCTATTACCTCATACCTGTTAGAATGCAGTTACCAAAAAGGTGAATAATAGCACACGTTTGGTGAAGGTGCAGAGTAACAGGGACAACACACTGTTGGTGGGAATGTAAATTAATATCACCATTTCAGAAAAGAGTATGGAGGTTCCTTCAAATCTAAAAATAGAACTACCATATGATCCAGTAACCCCACTTCTGGGTATAGAGCCAAAGGAATTAAAATCACTACGTCAAAAAAAATGTCTGTGTTCTCATGTTTATCGAGGTTTTGATTTGCATTTCTCTGATGGCTAATGACGTTAAGCATCTTTTCATGTGTTTGTTGGCCTTGGTATATCTTCTTTGGGGAAATACTTCTTCAGATTCTTTGCCCATTTTTTAATTGGGTTGTCTTTTTATTTTTGAGTTATAAGAGTTCTTCACATATTCTAGATGCTAATTTCTTATTAGATATATAATTTGCAAATATTTTCTCCTATTCTATGGGTTGTCTTTTCAATGCTTTGATGGTGAGAAGCATGAGTTTGCTGTTGTGCTGAATGCCTTCCTTTCTGACAAAACTGCCTGATAGCCTTACCAGATGCCCTAATTCACCCATCATCTCTCCCAGGAGCCTCACATTTTCCAAAAAACTTCCACTTGGATCTGAGATGCACTTACATGGCCTTTTATTTCTTAAAATTAAGTATTTTTTTTTCCTAAAGGCACAATTTCCTTTCCCAAAAGGAGTCATTTCAAAGACACTATAATTTCCTGAATCTTGTCCAAAGTTTAAAACTGATATCCAAGAAGGAGTGGCCTCTTTATTTTACCTCCAGAAATGTCTCTGAAATGCAGGCAGGTCCCATCAATCTAAAATACTCTCGGCTTCATTGCAGCTGCAGCTGCGAGACAGACCTCGTCATTTTGGCTGTTTATGCACTTCTGGAGGTATATTTAGGTTGCTTCTATTTAGTGTTCCCAGAATAGCCATAGTTTTTTGTTTCTCTATCATCCTCTTAGTTTTATTCCTTCCTGTCCCAAACTGCGGGTGATATACAAGATGATTTCCAAAACCCTTTCTACCTCAGAAAGTCTATGCTCTTAAACAGTGTCCAGGCCCTCCTTTGCAGGAGCACAGTATATCATCTCTAGCCATAACCCACAGTCCACTAGCAAGCAGCAGAGAACAGTCACCAAATGCAGGAGAGGCCCCATGGCTCATAACTGAATTGGGCTCATGTACTCCAAATCCCAGTGTGATTTGATCACTACTATTTAAATTCATAGACAAGTATCCTATGAATTAATATGTAATGTGCTTGGATGAAGACAAACTTGGGTTTACCTATATCATTTCTGGGCAGGGCTGTAGCTAAACATTTTGCAGTGAAAGTGATTTTTGATTCCAGTTCATGCTAACAAGTTAAGCTGACATATTTGATAGCTTCAACTAGCTCCATGGGTGGTCGAGTAAAGTTTTTTGTGCTTCATGTTGTCCATCCCATTAATAAATCAAATAATGCTGCAGGTACCATGGTTACATGTGCCTTAAATTTTGAGAACGACACTGCCAGAGACAGATTTTCAAATTACAAACATCCTTCATATCTTAGATGATGTATTAGGTTGCTACAAATCCCAAATTAGAATCCTGCTATCAATAGAGCATTTAATGCCCACTCACTTTAAATAAGCAATCAAAGTTAAAATAAAAATCAGTGAGCTTCTCCTATGAGTATTTCCCACAAATTCAGCTCAGCAGAGAGCTCTTCTGAGGACGGTCCCCACCCCCAGGAGTGAAATACAAGACTTGAATGGGTTGACGCCTGATAGTTTTCTGCTGACGATGTTTTTGGTTTTGCGTGTGGTTTTTTCCATCTTTGTAGTTTTACAAAAAGCAATGGTTTAAAGAAGGGGTTAACAGGAGGTGGAGCTTGTAGTGAGCCGAGACTGCGCCACTGCACTCCAGCCTGGGCTACAGAGCTAGACTTCTTCTCAAAAAAAAAAAAAAAAAAAGAAGGAGTTAAGGTGTGTGCAAATGCAAAAGCAAAGACATGGAATCAACCTAAATGCCCATCAATGCTAGACTGAATAAAGAAAATATAGTACATATACACCATGGAATACTATGCATATAGTATAAAAGGAACAAGCTATAAAAAGGAAAAAGATCACGTCCTTTGCAGGGACATAGATGGAGTTGGAAGCCATTATCCTCAGCAAACTGATGCAGGAACAGAAAACCAAACACCACATGTTTCACTTATAAGTCGGAACTGAATGATGAGAACACATGGACATGTGGTGCAGAACAACACATACTAGGGTCTGTCGGGCAGTGGGGGTGGGAAATAGAAATAAAATAAAATAAAACCTTTTTTTAAAAAGGTGTGTGCAAATGCTCAGGGCCATGTTTTAAACAGTGGCAAAGAAAAAAAGTTGAGAGACAAAGGGGAAGTCTTGAATTGTGTCATAGTTTGTTCATTTGAGCTTTAACATATCAAAGCCAAATAAATTTACACCAAGAAGTATTTATATTGATAAACAATATGTAATGGGAAACTACAAACCCATTTGTAAACACCATATCTAAATAATAATTTCTAACCAGTGCGCCCTGAGGCTGATGCCTGTGAATGACATGCTGAAAGGGATGAAAGCAATGCATTGAGGGGCTGTTTTGCTGTCTTTCCCACCACTGTGCCAGAACACAAGCCTCCTTCATGGGCGGGAGCCCTCCGCATTTCAAGCAGCTGCCATTCCAAGGTGCCAGGGCACCACAGAGATTGGCCAGGATGTGAGGAGATGGCCTGTGCACCTGTCTAAGACAGATAACAATACAATAGCCTCTTCACTCACACATACTCAAAGGAAAAGTAAAAAACCTTATGTCAGCTGAAATGAAGAGATTGGGGAGAGGACTAGGAAAGGCTGCAATGAGGCTGCAGCAAAGACAGAAGCATCCTAAAGAAGCAGCAGGAAGAAAAGGGAACTAACTGCTCCTTGCTGAAACACCAATAGAGAGGGGCACCTGGGTGGAAGAGCAACCATGACTCTCCCCAGCTCAGAGCTCTAGCTATGGATTCCTTCATTCCTGAAGGAATGGTTGCAGAAAACCAATACTGTTATTAAAAGCATCTCTCACCTTCTCCTTTCTCCATGTTTCATTACCAGCATGTTCTGAAAATTTATATTGCAAGAAAAAATAAAAAGGATGTGAGGAAACAAAATATTTAAAATATGGAAAATGGGAGTGATCATTTACTTTTGTTGCTTTAATAAATATACTTATAAAAAGACAAAGGGACAATGACATTAAAAGCACAGACTTAAAAGAGTTTTACATTTTAAAAAACAGAAATTGTCAAAATATTTTAAAAGTGAAAAGTTTCCTTCTTCTCTTACACATTCTAGTTCATGAAGACGTTTCCCATTTTTATTCTCATTTGTACCTGTTTACAAGAGACTCATTTTTTAGCCCCTTTAAACTATTCTTAAGCATCAAGAATGGTTTTGGCCAGGCGCAAGGGCTCATGCCTGTAATCCCAGCACTTTGGGAAGCCAAGGTGGGAGGATCATGAGGTCAGGAGTTCGAGACCAGCCTGACCAATATGGTGAAACCCCATCTCTACTAAAAATAGAAAAATTAGCCAGATGTGCTGGCATGTGCCTGTAATCCGAGCTTCTCAGGAGGCTGAGGCAGGAGAATCACTTGAACCTGGGTGGCAGAGGTTGTGGTGAGCCGAGATCACGCCACTGCACTTCAGCCTGGTGACAGAGCAAGACTCCATCTCAAAAAAAAAAAAGAATGGCTTCAACCCAATCCCCCAGTGAACCGAATTTTAAAAGCAGACAAGCTTCTCTGTCAGAGAAGTCTCAAGGAAAAAATAACTCACTGTTGTTACTTATGGTAGTTAGAACACATGAAAACTTTTAAAAAGTGGAAGTTTATTCAATTTTTTTCTGAATATATATGAGGTAGGTATAGATAATATGTAGCTAACATACGTACACACATATGTTGAGTTATATGATCTACATAAGGGAATATGTAGTATGCATACGGACTATGTGGGCTGTCAAATGCATGCCTTTTTTCCTCTCTAGCATTTTCCCTGTGTTATTGAATAACTTATTTTCTTAGCTGTCTTATAATCTTTTGTGTAAATACACCATACTTTATTTCCCATTTCCCTTCTGATGAACATTTAGGTTATTTCCAGTGTATTAATAGCAATAAAACTTAGATGAACATCTTTGAAGCTTATCTATATTCACATCAGTTTATTTTTTAGAAAAAAAAATAGAAACGGTGAATAAGAGGCCAGAACTTTGATATATATTATCAACCTTCTAAAAAGATATATCAATTTTTATTCTCATCAGCAGTACATGGAATTTCTAAAGATAATCATCTTAAAAGCAAAACAAAGATTGACAAAAACCCAAAAACAAATTTGGTCTAGATCATGTTGAAAGGTTCCCATCAAGCTACAACATTATTATCTTGTTGATACACTCTGACATACACAAACCCAGCGTGATTCCCCTGCCAAGGACTCTGGGCTGGTCACAATTACGATGGCCCTAAAGCTTCACCTCAGATGCACCCCTGGAGCCCTGAGGAGCTCACCTTTGTCCTAATGCCTAAGGAGCTATCTGTTAGAAGGTAGTTTAGGAAGCCACAGCCAGAAACACTGTGGCACCAACTAGATAATTTTAGGAACAAACCATGTATACATTTAGCCCTCCAAACCCTGCCGGGAACTCTAGGGAATTATTGGGGATTCAGTTGACTTTTTGCCGTACACTAACAAATCCATCTTTGGGAAAAGGCATGACCCACAGTGGCTCAATCAGGAGCAGGACACACCTCTACACCTCATCTCTTTTTGCTTTCATCCAGCTTTAGCAGGGCCTTCTCTTTCTGCTTCACAGAAAGGAACAGGCTTTGCCTTAAGCAGGATTTTGGGTTGTTTGCTTGCTTTTGCAAAAAGCAAGGTGTGTTGCCCAAATCTGATTAAATTTTGGAACATCTCTCTCCCTTTTTCCTGCAGCTACTCTTCTGGTGACTAGTGCAATTTCTTATGAATACAACTGACTCTAAATGCCTAGTGTAAGCCAACAAATATGTGAAAAACAAGGGAGAAAGAGCCACCCTCAGTGCTTGTTGGTGGAAACACACAATTATTTCTTTGGAGCACTTTATATTTTTTTGGCCAATAGGGTCATTTGGCAATCTGTGATGTGCAAAATTTTCACTCCCATTCAGTGAGTTCCCAGGACAGTTCTAGTGGACTTGGGTGGGCCGCACTCTGAGGTAATGGTCTCAGCATGTCCTGCCTTTGGGGAGTATTACTGATCACAGCTCACCTTCATGATTACTAAGCAGAAACATAGCGCCAGGAACAGAATGGCTTCTTTCGGTGAGGTGGTAGCCCAAGAGACAGTGCTCAAAATTGCTTGAACCCGAGAGGCAGAGGTCGCAGTGAGCTGAGATCGCGCCAGTGCACTCCAGCCTGGGCAACAGAGTGAGACTCCGTCTCAAAGCAGAGACAATGCCTGAGAACAGCTAGCACCAGGAATGCTGGAGTTGTACTTGAACTCCCTCCCACTTGGAGAATCTAGGCTTGCTGGACTCCACTAGGGCTCTGACCTTTCTCTGAAGCCAGTCTGAGGGGCAGAAACAGCTAGAAGCCTAGAGAAAGGCATGAGGGCTTCCAATAAAAGAAACTCCGCCAAGAGTCAAACCCAGTGCTATGAGGAGTTGTTCTTTGAGATAGATGGAGAGAAGCGTGCACCAATATCCAGAAGAAAATTCCTCACTAGAGGCAAAGTAAGCCAGCACCAAGCCCTCAGGAAAGCAAACAGAGCAAGGAGGAGGGTTTTAGGAGCCAGAAATCCAGGGGCCTCCCCCTGCCTGAGCAGATAGCAGAAGACACTCCCCAAGAGGCTCCTCTTGCCTGAGATGACCAGGGGACCTGGGGGTGCAGGGGGTGGTGGGTGAGGGGTACGTGTAGAGGAAGGAGGAGAAGAAGGCTATGTTGGGAGGAAGGACCTGCTGCTGAGGGCACGCTGTGGATGAGGAGGATGGTGTGGAGAGGGAGGACTTGCTGGTGAGGATGTTATAGGGATGAGGGGCACGTGGCAGCTGGGGGAGCTAGGAAATGCGGAGAGGCAGGGAGATGTGACAAGTACTTTTCAGCACCTCTCTGTGTGACACTCCATAAACCCACTGCACCACTCCTACATGGAAAACACTGCAGAGTTTTTGTGATCTTTGCAGGCATCTGGTGTTTATATGATGAGTGGAGCAGCAGAGCTGGGTCAGGCTGGGTCAGGCATTAAGAGGGCCTGGTTATTTCCTAGATCCACTGGCCTAAGCACGCAGTCGGGGAGGAGAGCCAGTTTCTCAGGTAGCAGAAAAGAAACCAGCGGGGGATGAGGGACAGTGTGAGGAGCAGGGTGCCCAGAGGCATCCGGCACCCAAAGGGTTCTCACTGTGCGGCGCTCCTTTGAGTCATGGCAGGACTTTCCTGGTTCCTGGGGGTGGGGGGGACTATTTCCAAGGGACGCTATTTCCCGGGGGGGTGCTATTTCCAGGGCTCACATTGCCTGCATCCAAAGACGTGCCCACCTTGACCCCTGGAAAAGTCCTGCTTATTTCTGCCCTAGTGACTTTCCACGCATTCGTTCACTCAACAATGATTATTGATATCCTGTTTACTACCAAGGTCCCCACCGTAGAGAGTTGACAGCCCAGCAGGAAGCTGTAGCAAGTATACAAATAACTTCAAAGCAAGCCAGAACATGATGGCTGCCTTCGGAGAGAGGCAAAGGGCTTCGCAGTGCGTAGGAGACCCCTATCTCAGAGATCAGGACTTCTGAAACTGGGTCTGCCCAACGTTGAGCCTCCGAGGACCTCATTGAACAAGACCTTGCCTGCAGGTCCCGGCCAGCCTGTGCTCAGGAATAACTAAGGAGTGGAGCCGCATCAACCTCCTTCCCAAATCCGGACGTCTTCCTCCGACTCAAGCCCAGCCTGAGGGCCATTCTCCTTGATTCACCCTTGGAAACAGACACCAGCCAAGGGAGCTGTCTCCTGGCGTTGACGAGGATCCGATTTAGGTCAGTATTCTAGTTCCCACTCCACAGAGGAATCTGACTGGAGGCCAGCTGTGGTCGATGAGTCATCCGGAACACAAGCAGGCAGCTATTTCCGAACTAAATGGCATCTGATCTCCCTCCTCACCTTGAGTCCAGTGCCCTGGTCTCCAAAAAAAGCTTCCTCTGAGATCAAGCCAGGGAGAGAGATACAGAGACCTGAGCAGAGGGGAGCCACCGTGGCTTCATCACTCCTGGTGCCATGCAGGCAGCAAAGGAACATCTGGAATAAAGCAGGCAATTCTAGAAGATTCTAGAATTCCAGGTCCTGTTAATAGACTGCCTCCATCCTTTACCTTTTTTCCTTCCATCCTTCCTTCCTCCCTCCCTCCTTCCTTTCTCCCTCCCTCTTTCCTGCTTCCTTCCTTCTTTCTTCCTCCCTCCCTCCTTCCTTCCTCCCTCCGTCCTTCCTTCCTTCCTCCCTTCCTCCTCCCTCCTTCCTCCCTCCCTCCTTCCTGTTTTCTTCTTTCTTTCCTTCCTTCTTCCTTCCTCCCCCCTCCTTCCTTCCTCCCTCCCTCCTTCCTGTTTTCTTCTTTCTTTCCTTCCTTCTTCCTTCCTCCCCCCCTCCTTCCTTCCTCCCTCCCTCTCTCCCTCCTCCTACTTCCTTCCCCACTCCCTCCCTCCTTCCTCTTTTCCTCCCTTCCTCCTCCCTCTCTCCTCCTTCCTTCCTTCCTCCCTACTTCCTCTCTCCCTCCCTCCTTCCTCCCGCCCGCCTTCCTCTTTCTTCTTCCTTCCTTCCTTCCTTCTTCCTTCCTCCCTCCCTCCTTCCCTCCCTCCCTCTCTCCCTCCTCCTTTCCTTCCTGCCTCCCTCCCTCTTTCCTCTTTTCTTCTTTCCTTCCTTTCTCCTCCCTCCCTCCTTCCTTCCTTCCTTCCTTCTTCCTTCCTCCCTCCCTCCTTCCTCCCTCCCTCTCTCCCTCCTCCTTCTTCTTTCCTTCCTGCCTCCCTCCCTCCCTCTTTCCTCTTTTCTTCTTTCCTTCCTTTCTCCTCCCTCCCTCCTTCCTTCCTTCCTCCCTCCCTCCTTCTTCCTTTCTCCCTGACTCCTTCCTTTTTTTTCTTTATTTCCTTCCTTCCCTCCTTCCTTTCTTCCTTCCTTCCTTCCTTCTTTCCTCCCTCCCTCCCTCCTCCTTCCTTTTTTCCTTCACACCCTCATTTCTTTCCTCCCTCCTTTTTTCCTTCTTCTCACTTGGAACACCTACTATATGAGCCATATACTGTTTTAGGCACCAAATCAGAGATGACACTTTCCATTGTGTAAGATACTGAAAATAAAGACTGATGTATATTGATTCTTACTATTTGCCAGATACTATTATAACCACTTTACATATATTAATTCTTTAATCTTCACAGCCAAATAAGGCAGATACTATTATTATCTCCATTTTGGAGATGAGACATCTGGCTGAACATGGAGAGATGAAATAGCTTGCCCAAGTAAAACCATGTATAAGCAGTGCCTCCTTTCTTTACTGATTCACACTATTGGAAGAAGTTTCTGAAAGCTGGCATGACCACTTCCCAATGGGAAGGGAGTATCATTTCTTGAGTACCTACTGTGTGCTAGACACTGTGTTAGTCCCCCGACACCCCCACTCTCTGTGTTGGCCACCCAGCTGACCTCTGGGAAGGTCCCAGGAAAGGGAACCCCACTCTCCCCTAGGGTTCCAACCCAGGAGCTCCCTCCCAGCAGTGCCGCTGCCAGGGTGGTGCCCTGCTCAGCTTCCATTGTGCCATGGTGCACTCCTCCAGGAGCCACCATCTAGTGTCCACCGCTGAGCACAGGACAGGCCCTGACTTGGATTCACAGAGGAAGCAGGCAGACACCCTGCCCCCGTCTCCATGCCTCTGCTTTAGTCGTCATGATCCTGACTCTGGACTCCAGCATCACCACAGGGTCAGCTGCTGTGAATCACCCTGAGAGAGTCTGGAGGGGCCAGGAGATGTGTCTGGAAGCCCAGTGGTCTTACCTCTCAATGTCCTGTCCCCAGCTGGAGTTACTCAGCCTTGGTGTTCCTCCCTAGAGAAAGAGGAGAAAGGTTCATGGGACCCTAGTAGTTCTGAGTTTGTCGTACTGAGGCATGTTGCTGCCTGGGGAAGAAAAGAGACATGTGAGGTTTTTGTTTTCCTGCCCTTGCACGTGGAGTTATTGAAAAGGATGTCAATGATCCCTGCCAGGTGAGGGAAAAGAGCTGCCCAGTGCGTGGGAGTCCATTACTTGGCCATATCATTAGGCTTTCTCTCTCTCCTGTTGGACACGCCAGTGCTTGCCCCACTCAGAGGGCTTCTGAATACTGTGGACTGATGTACTGGGGTGAAATTCCACATCTGGGTCCACTTTAAGTGATTATTTTTAAACACTGGTAAACATAAAAATAATTTGTTATTCTCACTATTTAATACAGTGAAGGACTATTAAATGGTGTTGATATTTCAGAGTTAATTAATTAAAGTGGTCTGTTTTCTGACTATTGGAAACCATAGCTGGATTTAACATTTATGAATTTATTCTGAACACATTAAGTAAAGGTCTTCACATAACTTACATGAATATAATTTTAACAGTATTTTTCCTCCTCCCTCCTTCCTTCCTTCCTCCCTCCTTCTTCCTTTCTCCCTGCCTCCTTCCTCTGTTTTTCTTTATTTCCTTCCTTCCCTCCTTCCCTTCTTCCTTCCTTCCCCCCTCCCTGCCTCCCTCCCTCCTTCCTCTTTTCTTCTTTCCTTCCTTCCTCCTCAAGGATCGATTTAATTAACTGGAGACATGAAAGATAATGGTTAAGATCTTTGTAGGCAGTGACAATTGTAATACCTAGGACAATAATTTCATATACCCCAAATTTTAAAGGCTAACAAGACCTAGGAGATTACCTAGTTGGTGGTTTTCTAAACTTTCTTTTAGCCATGACATCTCTTTTATAAACCAATTCTAACATAGTACTCCAACAAATAAAAGTAGAGTTGCTTTGCAGAGACCAAGAAACAGTTTGGGCTGGGCATGGTGGTCATGCCTATAATCCTAGTGCTTTGAGAGTCCAAGGCAGGAGGATTGCTTGAGACCAGGAGTTTTAGACAAGCCTGGGCAACATAGTAAGCTCACATCTCTACAAAAGAAATAATTTTTAAAAATTAGTCAGGTGTGATGGTGCACACCTGTAGTCCTAGCTGCTCAGGAGGCTTAGGTGGAAAGATTGCTTGAGCCTAGGAGTTCAAGGCTGCAGTGAGCTGTGATCACATCATGGCACTGCAGCCTGGGCATCAGAGCAAGATCCTGTCTCTTTTATGAAAGAAAAAAAGAAAAGAAAAATATACAGCTGGAAAACTGCCAAAGGTGTCCAATTCTTTCAGGCCCATATCAGGAAACTGAGGCCAGAGGAGACTTGGTGGCCACTGCAGGTTGGCTGCTTCTTCCTGGAAGAGCTGGAGTTCAAACTCAAGATGTTGGCTATACTTTAAGGCATTTTCCATGCTCTGTCGGTCTCAAGGGAATCATAAGTATCACTTAACTCTAGCAAATGGATTGATGCCTTAATGGAATCGTAAAGTGGGGCTATAGATATTTACATACCCCTGCATGGGAATGAATAGACCAGAGGCCCCTGTAGATGTCGTACATGTGAACCAGTCCAAGTAGGGCAACAAGAGGCTATTTGTACAACCCAGGCTGGAATTCTGTACCAGGAAGAAGAGTAACAAACCTCCAGAATCCGAGGAATCAGGTGGGCCCAACATAGCTACCCTCTTCCTGATGATCAGCCCAGGCCTGTCTGCTTTCTCATTCTAAAGGGCCATGGCTGGGTCCTTGCCCTGAGGGTCACGATTTCAATACAGCCCCTGGGTGGTCAGAGAAACTGGGCATTTTGACTCCTTTCTTATCTAGGACTCCTTTTTTACTGCCTTTCGCTGTGGTTTGCATGTGAGGAGTTGGGAGGAGGCAGGGAGTATAAAACTTACACTCCTGGCATGTGAGCTCTGCATCTGTTCACTTCTATATCTACCCAGCACACCCACTTCAGTATCCAGACCTCTGCTGAGATCACAAAACCCAGTCACTCTTCATAAGTCTGCCATACCAGACTACCATAAATTGTCATTAAATACCCATCCAATTCCCAGCCATATCAATGAAAAACAAACAAGAGAGTGGGGCTAGTGATAAAGAACAGGCTCCTATCAGAATAGACACCATCACACATCGCTGAGGAGATCCTTGGCTTTGATGAGCAAACTGTTGCACAGTACATTCTTAGAAGATGACAAGGAAGACCTGTTTAATGAGTAAAAGCTGAAAAAGTCAGCCCAGTTCCTTTTCCCAGCTCCTGTAATACTAAAGTCAAGACAGATAGGTGCCCAATGATCTCATCAAGATATTATCTCATGCTAACACCCTCAAAAGAGGAATAGGGGTCAGAGGTCAAATGACCCATCCTTTTGTCTGGATATTATTTATACAGTATTGTTGCCATTGATATGTCAGGGGTCTCAGCTCTCTTTTTTGGAAGAATTATTAGCACTTTTTTTTTGGAATGTGAGATTTGAGTTTTTGTGAGATTTGAGTTTTTAAGTGGGGCTTGGGCAATTTTGTAAGTATCCTAGAATAGGTTATTATGGCCTAACTCCAGTTAGGCCATAATAAAAAAAAAGCTCCAGTGAAGCTTTAAATTGTTGGAATTCTCAAAACAGTAGTGCATGCTTATACACCAGTACACCATTAGCTTCCTGGATAATTTTGTTTATGTGAGTTTTTAAATAGGCATTCCCACCACATCCCACTCCCAAAAAGAAGTGTTCACTTAAGGAATATCCATATTCATATGGTCAATTAGACAGAAAACTCCTGATTTGAAAAGGAGTATGGGAAGTTTGGTTTTTTGAGGGGTAGCAGGATAGGGCAGGGCAGCTGTTGAAACACAACAGAGCAGACAGAGCACATAGGACTGATGGGATTGAGTATGGAAAATGAAAAATAGAAACAGCATGGAGTGCTTAAAATTAAAGGGAAGAAGTTGAGATGGCAATTAGTAACTCCTCTTCGGCAAGCAGAAGTTAACAGACATGAGGAGGTGATGACCTCCCAAATATCAAAAACTCCTGGGGTAAGCTGCATGTGAAAAAAAAAGGATTTAGTGATCTTTAACAATATTTGTTAACTATTTGACTCTGTACACAACATTGCATTAAACAGAAAGTAGAATTTTAAAAACAGACAAATATTTATTGAGCACTTACGATATGGTTTGGCTGTGTCCCCACCCAAATCTCATCTTGAATTTCCATATGTTGTGGGAGGGACCCACTGGGAGGTAATTGAATCATGGGGGCAGGTCTTTCCCATGCTGTTCTCATGAGAGTGAGTAAGTCTCATGAGAAACGATGGTTCTATAATGGAGAGTTTCCCTGCACAAGCTCTCTCTTTGCCTGCTGCCATCCACGTAAGACATGACTTGCTCCTCCTTGCCTTCCAGCATGATTGTGAGGCCTCCCCAGCTACATGGAAATATAAGTCCATTAAACCTCTTTTTCTTCCCAGTCTTGGGTATGTCTTTATCAGCAGCATGAAGATGGGCTAATATAGTAAATTGGTACCAGTAAAGTGAGGCATTGCTGAAAAGATACCCGAGAATATGGAAGTGACTTTGAAACTGAGCAATAGGCAGAGATTGGGACAGTTTGGAGGGCTCAGAAGAAGATAAGAAAATGTGGGAAAGTTTGGAACTTCCTAGAGACTTGTTGAATGGCTTTGCCCAAAATGCTGATAGCAATATGGACAAAAAAGTCCAAGCTGAGGTGGTCTCAGATGGAGATTAGGAACTTGTTGGGAACTGGAGCAAAGGTGACTCTTGGCATTTTGCCCCTGCCCTAGAGATTTGTGAAACTGAACTTGAGAGAGATGATTTAGGTTATCTGGCAGAAGAAATTTCTAAGCAGCAAAGCATTCAACAGGTGACTTGGGTGCTGTTAAAGGCATTCAGTTTGAAAAGGGAAGCAGAGCATAAAAGTTTGGAAAATGTGCAGCCTGATGCAATAGAAAATTTGTAGCCTCAATGCAATAGAAAGGAAAATCCCATTTTCCGGGGAGAAATTCAAGCCAACTGCAGAAATTTGCATAAATAACAAGGAGCTGAATGTTAATCACCAAGACAATGGGGAAAATGTCTCTGGGACGTGACAGAGGTCTTCACAACAGCCCCTTCCATCACAGGCCCGGAAGCCTAGGAGGAAAAGATGGTTTCCTGGGCCAGGCCCAGGGTCCCCATTCTGTGTGCAGCCTAGGGACTTTGTGCCCTGCATCCGAGCTGCTCCAGCAGTAGCTGAAAGGGGCCAACATAGAGCTTGGGCTGTTGCTTCAGGAGGTGTAAACCCCAAGCCTTGGCAATTTCCATGTGGTGTTGAGCCTGCAAGTGCAGAGAAGTCAAGGATTAGGGTTTGGGAACCTTTACCTAGATTTCAGAGGATTATGAAAACACCTGGATGCCCAGACAGAAGTTTGCTGCAGGGGTGGCACCCTCATGGAGAACCTCTACTAGGTCAGTGCAAAAGCAAAATTTGGGGTCAGAGCCCACACACACAGTCCCTACTGGGGCACTGCCTAGTGGAGCTATGAGAAGAGGGCCACTGTCCTCCAGACCCCAGAATGGTA